>NC_000006.12:156888971-157040486 GCF_000001405.40 Homo sapiens | reverse complement strand
AAGTACAGAAAGATAAAGGATCATTAAAGATCATCACTAAAAGGAGCGGCGACATACACAGGACACACACTCCAGCAGGCTCAGAAATGTTCTGTGCATTTGCCAAGAGGGTGCCATGTGTTACCACAGTGACTTAGACACTTGAGTTACCTTTCCCAGTGCTTACAAAAACAGGAAGAAACACCAATTGTGAATGCGTTTAAAAACCTAACGCTGAATACCTAGACCTTTATGAAATAAGGTAATTCTGGCCGAGCACAGTGGCTTGCGCCTGTAATCCCAGCACTTTGGGAGGCCGAGGCGGGCAGATCACAAGGTCAAGAGATCGAGACCATCCTGGCCAACATGGTGAAACCCCGTCTCTACTAAGAATTCAAAAATTAGTGGCACGCGCCTGTAGTCCCAGCTACTCAGGAGGCTGAGGCAGGAGAATTGCTTGAACCTGGAAGGCAGAGGTTGCAGTGAGCTGAAATCGCACCACTGAACTCTAGCCTGGCGACAAAGCGAGACTCCGTCTTGGAAAGAAAAAAAAAGAAGACAGAAAAAAGAAAGAAAGAAAGAAAAGAAAGAAGGAAGGAAGGAAGGAAGGAAGGAAGGAAGGAAGAGAAAAGAAAGAGAAAGAGAGAGAAAGAGAGAGAAAGAGAGAGAAAGAAAGAGAGAAAGAGAGAAAAAGAAAGAAAGAGAAAGAAAGAAGGAAGGAAGGAAGGAAGGTAGGTAGGTAGGAAGGTAGGAAGGAAGGAAGGGAGGGAGGGAGGGAAAGAAAGAAAGGAAGGAAAGAAAGGAAAGAAAGAAGGAAGGAAGGAAGGAAGGAAGGAAGGAAGGAAGGAAGGAAGGAAGGAAAGAAGGAAGGAAGGAAGGAAGGAAGGAAGGTAGGTAGCTTTTGGAATTCAAAAATATACTTGCCGACTTCCAGATAATGAAGCAGTAAAAAGAAATGTCCCATCCTGGGTAACAAGGTGAAACCCCGTCTCTACTAAAAATACAAAAAATTAGCCGGGCGCGGTGGCGGGCGCCTGTAGTCCCAGCTACTCGGGAGGCTGAGGCAGGAGAATGGCGTGAACCCGGGAAGCGGAGCTTGCAGTGAGCCGAGATTGCGCCACTGCAGTCCGCAGTCCGGCCTGGGCGACAGAGCGAGACTCCGTCTCAAAAAAAAAAAAAAAAAAAGAAATGTCAAATTTCCCATTTTTAATTATATGTATAAACACTTCAGTATAGATCAGCAAAAGCTAAAAGCATCTATTACTGTGAAAGTCACTGGATTGTTGAAAAAAATTTTCACTGTTGTTTCAACTTATTAAATTTAAGGCTATGAGGTCAGGAGCAGTGGCTAACGCCTGTAATGCCAACACTACTCTTTGGGAGGCCAAGACCAGGGATCACTTGAGGCGAGGAGTTCAAGACCAGCCTGGGCAACATAGTTAGACCTGCATTTTTATAAAAAATTAGCCAGGCATGGTGGCACATGGCTGGCGGGAGCATCGCTTGAGCCTGGGACGTTGAGGCTGCAATGAGCCATGATCGCGCCGCTGCACTCCAGCCTGGGCAACAGAGTGAGACCCAGTCTCAAAAAAAAAAAAGTTAAGGCTACAAAAGGAACCTGTTAGGTTGGCCACAGAACAAACACGGAAGCTTCACACAGCAGGGCAGACTATGAGAGCTGCTGGCTACACTAATCTTCTATAACGTTGCTGCATACTCAGTAAGTATGAAGGATTATGAAAATGAGCTCCTAAGAACTGACCCTACAGGTCTATTAAAAATGCAATGAATATTCCACATGTATGCTGGGCATTAAATAAAAAATGAAAAATTCACAAGACAACCATATGTTAAATACTGTAAATAATACTGAATTAGGTTCTATTTAGAATAATTTCTTTTAGTAATTTTTGGCAGATACAGAAACATAAAAAATTTATTAGGGTTATAAACTTGAGTTGTATCAAGTATTTATAAAGTATTAATTTAATTTTCTTCATATATTTATGAATGTAAAATTGTGCTACATTTGTAACCTCAGAAACTTTGCTTTTGGTAGCATTACAGTGTCATCTTACCTGTCATTACTGTACAACTGGTAGACTGTGCTTTTGAAATGTCAAGCATATAGGATAAAAAAATGGTAAAATATATATATGTATATATAAATAATCCAACTTGGTTTCAAGCCAAAGATGTAGCACATGGAGGAGTCACGTGAGGGTCATCACCAATACCTGGTGTTCTGTAATAGTTTCTACCAACCTTCCTATCCTCCCAAACTGACTTCCGAAGTAACTGATGGCACCTACCCTATACTTCTACACCTCTATATGAAAATGAAATCAGAGTTCTCTAATAAGTGTCTCCTAATTTACTCAAAATTTAACAAATTTAAAAATTATCACCAAATATGTACAAAAGGCAAATGCCTCCCAATTTACTCAAAATTTAACAAATTTAAAAATTATCAGGAAATATGTACAAAAGGCAAGTAATTTGATCGACAATTCAGGTCTGGAAGATTATAATTTTTAAAAATCTGTAATTCTTCCTCTTGTGTTCTCTATCTCAGGGTGACACCATATTGTCCCTGGACTCATCTTGAGCTCCTCTTTTCCTACTCTGCATACCCCAGCAGGCACCAGACCCTGCACACTGCGGTTGCCAGTCCTCTGCCCTCTGACACTGCTTCTACTATGCCAGCTCAGGCCTGTGTTCACTTTTACTGGGTCTATTCAACTGCTTTTGACTGGTCTCTGGTTAATCCGTCCTCCAAAAAGTGGCCAAAGTCATCTGTCTAAATTGCAAATCTGACCACTACCTGGCTTAAAATCTTTTAATAGCTTACCATTTTTTATAGGAGAAAGTTATCTTTAACCTCTCCAGTCTCAGATCTTGCCACACAGACAGAAACTTAACTACTTTTAGCTTCCTCAGATATTTTTCATGGTGGCTGTTCTACCCGAAAATAGCTCTCATTTCTCCTGCCCTCCTTTCTTGCCTCAGTATAACCTAAGCCCTCAAAACTCAGCCCAGGGATCCACCTCCTAGAAAGCCTTCCCATTCTCCACTCCACCCGACTCGCAGCCTCTGGCATGTTTCTTGCATGGATACAGCTACCCTGTGGGATGATTTATCTGCTTATAGGCTTAGATCTGTCAGCTGGTCATGAGGTCCTCACGGGAAGGAGCTGGGTTTTCAATCCGGTTGTAACTGGACGGTAGGGGTTCTGTCTGAAGCGGGGACGTTTAATAAATCAATGAATAACACTGGAGCTATGAACTAAATACAGCACTCTGATAACATCTTACATTTCAGTAGCCCCAAACTGGGGCAAAATTTAAGCAAATCTTGTGCTATGCCGAATTGAAATTTAAAAGTCAATTACTGCTAAACGAAACTCTTGTTTTCCTGTATTGTTTCTTTCTACACAACAAAGAAGGTAATGAAAATACTACCACAGTCTAATCTTAATCACAATAAGAGAAATCTTAAACTTGTGAAGATTTTTAAACCTCAGTGTTTTGATTATGATTAAAAAAAAAATAAGTCCCCTCTGTTGAACCTTCAAATCCACCTAGGAGGAACTGACAAAAACCTCCACAATGAACTACACCAGACTACACACCTTGAGTCCAAAGGCTGCATCCTCCGAGGCCAAGACTTCAACCTGAAATCATAAGGAAAAACATAATTTAGGCACTATCAAAAACCTCTTTGAGTCTAGCCACAGAAACCAGACACAGGCATGGCCTAGAATTGAGAGTTCTGAGAAAACTGGCATTCCATTTATGTCAGTTGTCAAGAAAGAGAGATCTGTGAGTATCTTCAAGAGCTGGGCTGAAATCCCAGTCACCGTCTGGGTTTCAGTTCTATAAGACGGCGGGAGCTCCTATCAAATGAATCCATCTGCCATCATGTGGACGTAGTGGTTGAAGTTCCTCAAAAACAATCCAGGGAGTGAGTAGAATCATCCTTCTCACCTAAATCACAACATGTTGCATATGCCTTTTGGTCTTTTACTGACAGACAGTGAGGGGAAGCTGCCCTTTGTAGAGCAATCTCACTATGCATGTGTGCTACCAGTAGATTCTTGTCCTGCTCAGATCAGAGTGGGCAGCGCTGGATCTCTGGAATGTTGCAGAGCAAGAGTTCCTGAAAGCAATACTCTGGAAAAGGCAGGCAGTGTCTAAGCAACAAGTTGTGAAATGATGGCAAAACTTCAAGACTGCCTGTCAGTCTCATGCATAGAAGACAGAGCTCATTAACATGAATTTTAAAAAGCTGCGAGGAACAAAACGTGTATTGATAATTACTGTTTTTTAAACATAATTATTCAGTGTCGTGTGTAAAGCTTTTAACTTTGACTATTGCAAAGTACCAATACACGATGGAAAAGAACAAGGAAAGAAGGCAACAGAACACATCTGAGTATTTTTAAAGAGGAAGACGGGGTGGGTGGGCAATATCAGACTGTAACAGGCTTCACTGTCAGTTTTAAACCTTTTAAAACTAGGCATGTGTGGCAGGTGTTTAAGTAGAAGGCACATAGGCCTATCTAATGTATCCTGCTATAAAACAAAATTGTATTCTTCCCTTGTGGACAGAAAATATAGAAAGGAAGGCCATGACAATAAGACTTTCATCCAGTATGAAAGTTAAAAGGGTCAAAAGAAGAAACAAGGAAGCAAATTGTCTTCTCCAACTGCTTCACTGAAAGCCAGGCTCACTGACCACCCCCTGGCACTGGCAGAGCCTGGTGCGGAAAGCAAAAGAAAGATACTACCATTAGGGATGGAGATGAGCAGCCTCGTTTTCATAGAAAACCATATGTTGCTGATACCAAATATGATTTTAGGCTAAAGACTGAAATGTTGGATCAATTATAGTAGAAAAAATCATTGTAAGTTTCACTGACAGCATTTCTGTTTACATTTTAATTTCCAAGGCTGTTAGATTTAGAAACAAGGCCTTATTATAGACTTTTCATTTAAGAAAAGGAAAAAAGATTACATGTTTGAATTTCCCAAGCCCTGACTTTCACAATGCTAGGTTACTAACCTCAACTATTTTTTAAATTAAAACCTCTAATCAACATTGGAGACTTTAAAGGAAAAACGCGAACAGGAAATATGCTGAATCTTAAATACTGTGAACATCGTATGACATTTGCTTGTGAATTACACATATAGATCATATCTGCATACCTCACCCTTGATGTGCTATTTTTAACACAAATAGAATTATTTTTAAAATATATTACAGTTTAACTTTGCAAGAAAAAATCTTCAGTGAGTTCTGCATATTTTATCATATTATAAAAAGTCAATGTAACAAGAAAATTCAATAGCAAATAGAGCTCTATTTAAAGATAAGGCTTTAATATATTTGACAACTTGAGGTGAGAGCAAATCAAAGCTTTCGTGTGAAATTTAGAACTCTCCCTGTGGCTATTTCAGCAGACAGAGACAGTGACAGACCTTGTGGGTGGGAGGAGGGAGTCAGATCCCACCAGGGCACCCTTCACCCCAGATTCTATCTCCAGGAGGGCTGGGGGAATTGTTTTGAAACTCTTAATATACCTTTAAACGAATTTAATTACAGCAACTCTACAAAAGTATTTATGTTTTGTTCAAAAGCACTATTGTTTACATATATATGTACCCTAGTTCAAGTATCCTTTACATCCTCTATTTCTGTAAGATTTTAATATCAGCAACTACAGAAAATCAGCTGATTTTAAAAACATGAGGTTATCCTCAATTTAATACAAAGGGAATATCAATGTCACACAAGGTTTTCACGCTGAGTCTAAGAGCATTTTTACCTAAGTTGGAAGGAATCCCCCTCTAGTGGGAGCAAAGGAGTATTTCAACTTTCACACTTAATTTCCAGGTAGTAGTCATTAAACTTACCGGCCGAAATCAGCTAAGCTTTTTTGTTCCTTTTGTCATAAATTTGAACAACAATAACAGAAAAGTCAATAACTATATTTCATAAGACAAAACCACCCATCATTCTTATACATAAATTAGAAGTAGATCTGTGTTAATCCGATTAAAACAAGAATATACAACTGAAAAATTTGGGAAATTCTCAATGGAAAGACTGGATACTGTACTGGGAAGACACAGCATTGATGCTAAAATACTAATTCTTTGCCTATAATCTGCATTTATCTGCTCTAATCTCAAAAAGACCATCACTCATTCATAATAAATACTGTGCAGATATTTATTAAATGCAATGTTTTGTGCCTAATGTCATAAGAAAATGAGTTTAGCTTAGGTATAAATATCTAAGTGAAATGTATTTAAGTATCCATTATACAGTCAAAAATAAATTCTAATTCATAAATGAAAAGATAAGATTATTCATTGTGTTATTTTTCTTTTTAACTTTGATGTGGGGAGACTTAAAAATTAGCAGTAAGAAAAAAAAAGTCACAGGTTTAATCAAATGTAAAATTAGGACATAATAGCCAACGTTCTCCTCCTCCACACAGACACTGTAACAAATACAGAGACAAATTTGAATACTCTGATGAGACCCATGTTTCACTTCAATGGGAGAGAGAACTTTTCAAGGGTTCCTGAAGTACAGAGGTGTGAAGGGGCAGGTTTAGGATAACAAAGTAGAAACTTCCTAAAGGCAAAGACAAGGCCCTTTCCATTAACTCACACTTATTTCAAATGTTACAATCAACATTTTATAACACAAGTGCCTAAAAGGATTCCATTTGTAGAGAACCTCTAAGAGCTCTGTGAAAGTTCAGTCTGTAAAGTTCAGCAGCAGCTAAGCCATTTACAGTCCTCACTCTCCTAAAGCACAAAAACCTTCAATTGACATCTCTTTCCCAATTACCCTACGGCCCACCTCCACCAAAAATAACACAAATCACCTTAATTTCCAATCATTCCAGTAAGAAAATTGGGAAAACAAGAATTCCTGAATTTGGAAGTAAAACTGGCCGTACTTTCCTTTCTCTTTCACTTTCAACGTCCTTTTTATGTTCACAATGTAAAGCACTCATTGAAAACAGAGTATACTAATTCTAGCAGCATTATCGTCAAAATAAAGCAATGCCAAAACTATGCTGCAATTTATTTTTTTAAATAGTTCTAAAATCAGTATCACACTGTCACAAAAAGAGGAACTAAAGTGAGAAATAATGCTCATTTATAACAATGTATAATGAACGATACTCATAATTAAAGGAATACAAATAAAGTCATATTGTACTAAAGATTAAACCTTGTAATAATTACAACATATACACAGGTTTGGGTAATTATTCAAATCACAGCCTTGCACTGCTGATGAAAATATATACTGGAATAAAATACAATTGGCAGTATCAATCAAAATGCACATGTATATGATTACGCAAGTATTAACCCCAACAATTCCACTGATCCTAAAGTATAAAAATAAATATTTAAAACGATGTTTACTGGAGTTGTTTGTAACAGTGAAAAGTGAATATAACCAAATTTTCATTGCCAAGGGAGTTTACAGTAAATTACTGTATAGTCGAACATAGAAGACTATGCTTCTGTTACAAAGACAGAGGTAAATCTATGTGTGCAGACAAGAAAAGATTTCCAGGATACTCTATTAAGTAAAAAGAATGGAAAGGGTGTGCACAGTAAGCTACCATCAGTTTTTTTTAAAAAAGGTGGGGGTGAGTCATATACTTGATGTACTTAGAATATTTTTGGAAAGAAATGGAAGAAACACATCAATCTAAGAACTTTTCCCACCAACTACATGTGCTTCTTGTTCAATTAAAAGTAATTAGTTAACAAAATAAGTCAATAATAACATTACCCATTGTTCCATGTCAATTAATAATCATGGAAATGTGAATAAACATCTTATCTTTCAAGGTAGCAAAAATTAAAAATATAGTGGTCCAGGTTTATGTGTACACCTAGGTTTCTCAACATCTATGGTGGGCCTGTAGCTAAGAATGACCCGCCCAGAAAACAATCTTCCATTACATATCAATATCCTCAAACATACTCATGCCCATTTATCCAGCAATCAAGCCGCTAGAAAGAGCTATCTTCAAGTTATAATTTGTGATCTACCATTTATATATTAAGCATGTGTACCACATTATTTAAAATAACATATTAGAAAAAAACGTACAAATATGGGAGATGGTTAAAGTATGGTATATTCACATGATAGAGCATTAATAATCATGAAAAATTCAGGTTTTAAGAGATAGTTTGTAACACGGGAAAATGCTCATAACTGTGTTAATGTAAAGAAATTAAAAACAAAAAATTTGACATTTTAAATATTTGAATGTATCCATTTGTTTTCCCCAAGCTTCTAGAGTTTGTGCCATGCTGGAAAATGTCTTCCTCACTGCAGCATTTTAAAAAATATTCATTTTGGGCCGGGCGTGGTGGCTCACACCTGTAATCCCGGCACTTTGGCAGGCCGAGGCAGGAGGATCACCTGAGGTCAGGAGTTCGAGACCAGCCTGGCCAACATGGTGAAACCCTGTCTCTACTAAAGACACAAAAATTAGCTGAGCGTGGTGGCGCATGCCGGTAGTCCCAGCTACTTGGGAGGCTGAGGCTGAGGCAGGAGAACAGCTAGAACCAGGGAGGCGGAGGTTGCCGTGAGATCGCACCATTGCACTCCATCCAGCCTGGGCAACAGAGTGAGGCACCATCTCAAAAAAAAAAAAAATTTCATTTGTTTTCTTTTAATATATTTGACTTTTTTACATTTAAATATTTGATCAAACTGTAATTTATTGTGAAATAACAAGAGGAGGGGGTGACTCCATTTTAATTTTCCATTTGAATAACTGTGATGAAGAATATTCCTTTATTTTTTCCAGTGATTATAGATATCATACCTTTACCATAATTAAACATTAAAATGATATAGATTTTGCCTCCAATTCCAGGCAAGGATGGGAAAGGCAAAATTACACAAGTGAGCTGTTCTGCCCAAAGGGGAATAAAGGTGAGGAGAGGAGGCTAGTAACAATCAACAAGAAATTGATTAAATTTCCAGTCACAATAATATTTATCTGCAAGGGTATTACCAAGAATTTAGATGCTCTTGGAAAGAATAATTTTTGCCTACATTGGTGTCCAGGGGATAAAAATACTCTCCTTACAATGTTTGCTGTATCTCCCTTGATTGGGCCAACAAGTCCAATACACCAACTACAACCTATTCCATTAATCATACTTTTACCTACATTAAGGAAAAGTAGACACTAATAAATAAACTGCTCTCCAAAACCATGTTCCAGGATTTATGACAATTTAAACTGCAGGAGAAGCATATGGGTTGCAAAGTTTTAATTTTATCAAACAAAGAAGTTGTTCCGTGTTTTTCTTTATTATTATTTTATTAACTTTTTGGGATTTTAATCCATTAAAAACATAGAACTCTTAAGAAAAAAAAAAACCAACCATAAGCCACTGCCAGCATTCCTCTTTTACTTATTAATTCTCCTCGTTCTCCTCATTAGCATGACAGACCACATGACGGCTGAAGGACATGGCTTGCTGAAATCGCTCAGTGCACCGTTAGCCAGCAGTGGAAAGAACACGCACGGTAGCCTCGTGCTGCTGAGTACAGCGGCCGTCCTCTGAATGTATTGGAAATGAACTAAAACCTTGTCTCTATACAGGGACCCAATAAATATTGGTAACAATGAAAAATACATCTATGCAATCAAAAAGCATTTGATAAACTTAGTACTCTAAGACACAATTTCAAGGCGGTGTGATGTTAACATAATTACACTTTTCACCGCAAGTGATATGCTCACATGATCTCCTCCACTAGGATGCTGGTGTGTCTTTCTATTCAAGGCTGTTAAATTTAAAACAAAGTCAGTCAGCACTGTGGTCACACCCTTATTTCCAATTATGTTCTCTAACTCAGTGAGGATACCTCCACAGAGGATTTACAAAGCAATGAGGACACCTGGTATGAACCAATCTTGAACTCTTGGTATCACTCAGAGACAGAGAGACCTTGAAGTGTGCGAAACCAGCCACTACTATGCAATGTGGTGTTATAGCCTCTTCCACCCAAGGTGGAGTCTAATTCTCTACCCCTCAATCTGGACTGGATTTATGATTTACCTGGGTCAAGAGACTGCTGCAGCAGCAATCATGCTGTGCCACTTCCAAGTCTAGGACTCAAGAGGCAATTCTTCTAATCATTCTCTTGAAACACAACCAACCACCACATGAACAAGCCCAGACTAGCTTGATGATAACACATGGTCCTGTTACCACATCGCCTTAGCCAAGAGCCAGTCAAGCCAAGAGCCCGAGAAGCAGAGCCACTTAGCAGGTCAGTAGCTGACTGAAGTAGAAGGAACAAGCCCAGTACAAACCAGAACCACCCAGCTGAGCCCAGCCCAAATCGTCAAACTGTAGAATCATGAGCTACATAAATGGTGGCTGTTCTGAGCACTACTGCAAAAACTAACTGATGCACTGTACAACTTTAAATAAAGGAACTCTAGGTGCCATGGATTTACAGGCAGAGTTCCAGGCAAGAACACCATGACACTAAAGGAAGTTCTGAAAGCATCCACGCAGCCAATTGCTTCTTTCATCTCCACTCCCTCCTTAAAACCTTCGAAGTCTTCCAAGACCGTAAAATTAAGCCGAGCTGCTTACCATGGTCCACAAGAAGCTAAACCACGTGGCTCCCGCCTGCCTTGCAGGTCCTCGGTCCTGCCACCCGCTGCTCTTCACAATGTTCCCGCTGCACTGGCTTGCCTTCTGTTCCTCCAAATGGCCACTGTTCACCTGAGGGCCTTTGCACTGGCTGCTCCCTCCTCCTGAATTACTGTGCTACCAGATCATCCCATGGCCAGTCCTGTCGTACCAATCACTCCTCAAGAGAATCCCTCTCCTTCTTTTGTATAATCACCTGAGATTTTCTTGTTTATTCATTTGTGTATCACCTTTCTCCCTTTACTGAAATGTCAACTTCACAAGAGCAGGCTAGCTCATTCACTGTTGCATGTCTCTTACCTGGAAGAGTGCCAGACACAGAGTAGGAGCTCACTAAATATTTGTTGAATAAATGTATATGAATGAATGCGCTAAAGACTATAACAAAACAATAAAAATATAAATACATGTGTATGAACCCAAATTTGACACAGCTCATTATGACACAGGTGGGGATATAACAAGGTTTAAAATATGCTCTACCTAATATAACTATATAAGTAGAAGTCATATGTGTGGTTGGTGATACATGCTTGCATGCATTACACATGACTGTTACTAAAAATCAAACCAAAAACCAATTTTGCTATATTGAATACATATATATGCATTTGATGCATTTGTCTCTCTAGCCAAGAGTAGACCTTAAATTCCTTAAAAAGGATTAGTTCTTATAAACTGATGGCAATAAAATGAGTATGTATGTTGCTCAAAGATAGATCTTTTCTATCCATCCTGAGTTAAGAGGTAATGACTTCTAGACTTGAATCATACCAATAAATAACTCCAGTTAGACTACAGTAAATATTTTATAAAAATACATACAGTTCGCAATCCTTCCAAACAATTTTAAAAAGTAATTTTGAGCTTTCCAATTTAGGTTGGCTGACCACAACACAGTGGATGGTAAGAATATCTGCCTATGCTACAGGGCATGATTGTAAAGGAGACTGACAGGCCCAAATTCTACAGAAGAATAGCGGCACTCAGAAGGCTTATGTGGTCACAGTACCATACCTTTTCCATAAATAATTTTCTTGAGACAGTGGAATAGTGTAACCCTGTCAGTTACATGATGACATTATTTGTAGATTTGGGGGCATTAAGAACACTATACCTAAGGAAATCACATGTATCAAAGTTCATCATTTCCATACTTCCAGCGTTTATCAAAAAACATGGCTATGAGATCATGAACAATATAGACCAAAATATAGTTATCTATTCATTATTTCATTTGGCCTTTCCAATGCAACACATGTGTATGTATCAAACATTTTGAAAACAGGTAGTACTTTCAATAAAAGCAATGCTTTCCCTTTAGATCTTTATGTAAACTGTATCTTATTAAATTAGAAAACACTAATACTTATTCATTACATTATTATTTCTACATGATTGATTTTTCTGTATAATTCAAATTAATAACTATTTCTTCTTAACACTTTCTATACTTATTCCTAAATTCTAGAAAGTTTGATGAAGGAAAATAAAAATGATGGGTGTCCAGGCAGTGAGGGACTGTTAAAAAACATATGAGCACTAAGTAAGTGGTAGTTAATAAACTTTACAAAAAGTGAGATAATGTTTAGTCATATTCTAAATATTTATCTTGCATTATGTGATATAATTTGGTCATAATTCAATGCCATTTTATTTAAGCAATACTTCCCAATTTACCCAACCATTTACACACACACACACATACACACACAGTTTATGAAGCCAATGTCTTATGCTACAGCTTGGTAAGTTTAGATTCTCCAAAAATGTAATAAATAAACTCTTTTCCTAATTTTGACATTTCATAAAAAGGAAAATCTTACATTTAAAAAATACCTGGATAAATCAACGGAAGTACTAAAAGATAAAAATTGTGGCTAAGGTACTATTTGATCATACTTAAATCCCTCTCCCAGTCCCACCCTGCCATTGAAGTTAGAAAAGGAAGCTGAAAGTTGTTACAAAGTCACTATGTAGAAGACATATTGTGGACACACAGGCTATGGCCATCCCCAAGATAGAGGCATGTAAAACTTAATTATGGTATCAAAGAAAATGAGGTGCAATAAAGATGACTTTATTGATTAGGTGAGAATGAAAAGGTGTTTTAAAAACAAATACATTTTTAGATCAGCAAATGAAACTTCTATTACAGCCAGCAAATGGCTGTTCATACATCTCGATTGTGTGTCACTGGTTTTCTTTCTGCTGCCCTGTTCCCTGTCCAAACGTTCCTGCCCCCAACTCTGTCACTTGGGTCCAAATGTCAAAAAACTAACAGATGACAAAACTTCTTTCTTATCCTAAAATACTTCTACCAAAACAGATGGGGGTTTCAAAACACTGAAATAGTGGTTACGACCAAAGACATTTATCACAGTGCATATTTAAAACCTTTCAAAGTTCAAATTAAATAGTATAGTATTATTTTGATTATCAAATTGGAATGGAAAGACAATTCAATAAAAGAAAGAATGTAAGATTAGGTATACTGAAATTTAACCACAGAGTTTTATCTTTTACCTTAAGATGAATTATTGTGTTAGAGGAAACTTATTTTGAAGAATCTATTTAATTAGGTAAACTAATAAGTTTGAAGCTAAGAAAAAATGACTCTAGGGAAGACAGACAACTATTTTTTTTTATTCTTTTCAGATTTCTCAAAAGTCCTATTTGTCCAAAGAAACTTAACTAAACTGGCTCCCCACCAATCATGTCATCTCCCTTTCTTCTCTCACATAAATTGCTTAATACAGCCTTACCTGCTAAGGGCAATAATAACAAATAACTATGTATGCATTACATGGGAAGGAAACTGAGGCTACCTAATACAGGACACTCTGTAAGAGGTAAATTTAGGAAGAGGAGTTAGAAGTTTTCCAGGTAACTGTCACAATACCACTATTCCACTCTGCTCCCCTTCACCTCTTTAAAAAGTGCATCTTCTAATAGCCAGGCGCAGTGGCACGCATCTGTAATCCTGGCTAATAAAGAGACCGAGGTAGGACAATTGCTCGAGCTCAGGATTTCGAGACCAACTGGGGCAAAATAGTGAGACCCCCCCATCTCAAAAATAAAAAGGGTATTTTAGCACAAAAACAAGTCACAGTGATGATTACAAACACTCCTCTACTCACCTAAGAAATAGGTCTCTGAGGATTCATGAGGCTTAGGTGAGACTGGAAGCAATGAAGACAAACCTGAAAGCTAGACAGCTCTGAGATGAAGACTGGCCCCGAGAAGAAGGCAGGCGCCGCCACTTGTCAGCATACTCCTCTAGACCAAGTGCTCTTGATCTGTTGCTGCTTTATTAAATAAAACTACTTCATATCAAGGGTACATCTTGACATTAAATAATAAAGTCACTTTAAAATACGATTGATATATGATTACAGTGCTCTCCCAAAGAATAAATTACCTGAACATGGAAAAGACGAGTCTTTTGGCTACACCACAGAAAGCAGTATTGTCTGGAAAAAGAAAATATGAGTGATTTGTCTCTTTCCATGATAAAAACATTGGAGTCAAAGGAGAGATCTGATTTTTAAAAATAGGCCTGGCGCAGTGGCTCATGCCTGTAATCCCAGCACTTTGAGGTGGATCGCCTGAGGTCGGGAGTTTGAGACCAGCCTGGCCAACATGGTGAAACTCTGTCTCTACTACAAATACAAAAATTAGCCAGGCATGGTGGCGGGTGCCTGTAATCCCAGCTACTCAGGAGGCTGAGGCAGGACAATCTCTTGAACTCACCAGGCGGAGGCTGCAGTGAGCCGAAATTGTGCCACTGCACGCCAACCTGGGCAACAGGGCGAGACTCCACCTCAAAAAAAAAAAAAAATCTATTCCAGCACAATGTTACAGCCACTTTGGAGAAGAAGCCTGGTAGTTTCTTACAAAGGTAAATGCAGTCTGCTATATGATCCAGCAATCCTCTACTTCTAGGTATTCACCCAAGAGCAATGAAAATATATTAACATGAAAACCTATATGAGAGTGTTTAGGGAGGCTTTCATCATAGTTGACAAAAACTGAAAACAATCCAAATACCCTTCAACTGATGAGTGGATAAACAAAACTATGATCATAGCCAAACAATGGAAAACGACTCACCAATGAAAAGGAATTAACTACTGATACAAACAAGGAAATGGATGACTCTCAAATGCACTGTGCTAAGAAGCCTGACTCAAGAGGCCACCCACTGTATGATTCCATTCATATGACATTCTGGAAAAGGCCAATCTACAGAGAAAGAAAACAGATCTGTGGCAGCCAGGACTTGGGTGTTAACAGAGAGGGACTAACTATAAAGATAGAGGGGAACTTGTTAAGGTAACAAGAATGTTCTACCGTCCTACTAGAATACTGTTCTGCCTTACACATCATTGTTATGCATTTCTCAACATAGTAATCCATCCACAATGCTCAGAAAACTTTCATCTTGTCCAAATATTCAGACATGAATTCAAACAATATCCTATAGTTTCTCATCTTAAAATTCCTTTAGTTTCCACCGTGTAACACATCTTTTTGTTCTGAGAAAGTGTTCTAGAATATAGAGTTAAATTTTACATTTGATAATTTCTAGACATTTCTGCATAATTTGGGAATTGCTACATTTTTCTTATGGAGGAGGTCAAAGTTTTTGAGTTTTTTGCTTTGGAGTAAGAAAGGAATCATTTACTAAAATTCTTTGTTATTTAATACAACTACATATAAATGTCAACTTCAACATGAAAACGAGCAAATGAACTTAAAATCAGAACTGCAGCCAATGGTGAAATCGTCTGTACAAGCGCAGTCATGAAAATTATTACACAACCTTCAGATCTGAAGCATGGCACTTAACACATCATCACTATACCTTTTTCTTATAGCTCAGAAATGTATGGAACTACACCATGAAGTTCCTTTCTACTCAATAGCAAAAAGCTTGAAATGTAGTCTCAAGGATGAAAAGCCAGATTTTGGGTTTTTTTTTCTTTTTTGTTTTGTTTTACAGAATCTCACTCTGTTGCCAACACTGGAGTCCACTGGTGCAGTCAAGGTTCACTGTAACCTCTGCCTCCAGGTTCAAGTGATTTCCCTGCCTCAGCCACCTGAGTAGCTGGGATTACAGGTGTGTGCCACCAGATCTGGCTGTTTTTTGTTTTGTTTTGTTTTTTAAGTAGAGATGGGGTTTTGCCATGTTGGCCAGGCTGGTCTTGAACTCCTGACCTCAAGTGATCTGCCCGCCTCAGTCTCCTGAAGTTTTGGGATTAAAGGCATGAGCCACTGCATCCAGCCCCGAAAAGCTAGATTTTTGATGTTTGAAACATCTACACCAAGTAAGCCCTTTCAACATTTTAATATTAAATGGACTCAATTTGTTCACTCAATTTTGTTCATACAAATCTGCTTTTTAAACAAAAATGAGGTTTCTGAAATAATTTACAACCAAACATAAAAAGAAACTTGTCACTTGGCAGTAAGATTCATTTATGTTATGTTTTTCTAAGAGTTTATAAACAACCTTGGTCAGCGTTTGGGATGAAATGACCCCAGTTCCTGAAAGAGTTAAACCACATATCATTTTTGTGGCAGGAAGGCCATAAGAAGCAACTTCCACAGAGTGGCACTTCAGCACTGCTGACGCAAAATGTTGGAAGACAAATCTTTCTTCCACAAAGAGGCCTTCAAGTTAAGTAACATCTCTGCACAGGCAGATAAATCTCATATGAAATGTAGGCTGAATGCCATGGTTTATGTTACCAACTATTTTTAATACAAATTCACTATTTTTAAAATGGGTAAATTGGTGAAAGTTTAAAGAATAAATAACCTGAGATAACTAGCTACAATCTACATGCAAAATCTGTCAAGCCATACACTTGCTTGACATCTCACTTGAATGTATTATTTACATCAAGACTACCTTTGGCAAACCTAGGGGAGCATAGGAACCACACACTCATTATATTAGGTAGGCAAAGTTTAACTTCAAAATTTGCCGTAAACTTGGCAAATGTTTGCAGCAAATAGAAATTACTGTTGGAGGGGCAGAAGTCATAAGTGACTCCCAAATAGATATGCCTTGTTGATATTTATTTGGGTTAACATTTTAAAATCCAAGACTTTCCAAATAACATAAAATAGTGACTGCAAACCACACTTAGATGTACCTACAACGTCAGACCCATTATGAGCAATGGCAGGTAAGTGTAACAGTAGAATATGCCACGACGATGGGGAGAAATCTTTTACTCAACCCTTATTACACTGTTTCCAAATTGCTCCAGTTTATGTAAAATAATTTGTATTGTTTTCTTTTTTAATTGTACATATCCCTTCTGAGATACAGAGAAAATTAAGCTTTTCCATAAATTCAGTATTCACAAAGCTAGGGAGTTAAAAGCCTGTAAACACAAAATTCACTGACCTGCATCAATTTAAGCACTATTAAAAGAGATTGCAGCTCAAAATCTAAAAAGAGCTGCTAATCCTGCTCTACAGATAGTAACCAATCAGTGTTTATCCTCACAATGCATTTGCTCTTCCTGTTAGGAAGCGCCGGAGTGAGGAGAGGATATGGAATACAAGAGTATATCCTAGTATGCAACTCACTCCTTCTTATGAAACACCTAAATAATAAATTCAACTTAATTTAAACTGTAACTGGCAAATGTCATCAGTTAACAACAATGATCAAGGTCAGAAATGTCCCTGCTATTATTTTTATAAAATCTGTATACAGATCACAAACACAGAAATTGCTACATGAAAATTTCTATGCATATTCACACGTGCGGTAAACACTACAAGGCATAAAAACAGAAGAATGTTAATATTCAGAACTCTTCAAGGCCATTTCTCTTAAACATTTCAAAATACTTTTGGATTCTGTCTCTACATCAACACCGAAAACTGACCCTAACCCTAACCCTACGTTGTTATAATGGATCATCAATTAAATTTGCAGAATTCCAAAATTAAGTTGCTTTGAGTCTGATAAAAATACACACATAAGTTATAAGTTATCTGCATAAGAATTATCAACAAGAGAACAAATTAGAATTTATGGTCAAATTATATAGTTCACAGAGTGAACAAAAAGTGTAAAACCAAAGTGGCCGTCGCTGATTGCTACTAGTTGGATTAAATGCATGTCTTGGTTAATCTACTATAGTTTCATGTGTTGTTTAGCTTACTTGAAAAAGTCGTCAAATGTTCCTAGATTGCAGATTGCAACATCCTACCTAAAACACCTGCAAGTGACCAAGAGACCACCCAGTGATCCCAAAGTCTCCATGGCAGAGACAGGATGAAAAGTAATATCCCGACAAGACTCTTCAGCATTTAATTAAGAACAGGAAAGCACAGGCAGGAGATGAAACTTTACAAGCCTAGGCGTTTCTCGGCTTTTAAAAAATGCTGTGAGTTGGTTTTCCCAGCAAGGAAGGTTGATGAGCATGCACTTGGCTCCAAGAAGCAGCTATTACACAAATAGAATCCAAGTGCCTGGCTAAGCCGCCCAGCCTCGGTGCGTCGGGTAACAGCCAATGGCGGCGGCCTGCCAGCCTCGCCCCGCCCACCTCCCGCCGGCCCCGCCCCTCCACCTCGCCCCCTTCCGCGGCCCCGCCCCGCCTCCCCGCCCTGTTCTTGGCGGCCTGGGCTCCGCGGCCCTGCTGGCGTCCTTCGTCTGTAGTTCCTGGCTTTTCCACCGTCAGCCACTCGTTTTAATTACGCGAACGGGTTCCAACTCATCCAGCCTTTAAGTTTGGGTGGTGGTTTTGAGAGGGGGAAAGAGATGCACCAAAGGAAGTAGGGGAAAAATAAAACCTTAAGCGCTGGGCGCGCCACGCGGGACGCAGAGGTTAGGGGCGCGCGGCGAGGTAGCGGGGCGGCGGCGCGAGACGGCGCAGGGGAAACACTCGGTGCCTGCGTGAGTCTGGCCGCGCCGGCTCATGTGTACGCGAAGCTGTGTCAGCAGAAACTTTAGAAAACACGCTGTGCGAGCGGCCGCCGCCTCCCGCCTCCAGGAGGAGCCTGCGGGCGCGCGGGGCGGACGGTGCCTGCAGGCGGCGGCCGCGCTTGCCCGGAAAGGAATGTGGCTGCGGCCGGCGCCTCCTTCCGCGGGGTCCCACAAAGGCTCATCTGTGCGCGGCGCGGCGCCGTCGGAGGAGTCCGAGCCTGTTCAGTCAGGCTGAGGACGCGGTTGTTTTCGTCCCCCTGTCCCCGCCCCCACGAGCCTACGTGCGGGGTAGGGAGGGCGGCACCGGAACCCCCGCCCGGGTCGGGCCGAAAGGAGCGAGCGGGGCCTGCCGGCAGAGGCCGCCGGGCTGCTGTGTGACTCGGTCCCCTCCGCGCTCGCCGCCCTCATCCTCGCCCAGCGCCTCCGCGGCAGGGTTAATTCCGCCCGCTGCCTGGTGGTCCCACTCCCGGGGGATTCCGGGGTCCGTGGAATCACTGGTTCTCCCTTCGGAGGAGCTCGGCTTCTTCCGTGGGCGCGGGCGAGTCTCCCCGCTGTACCGCGGGGCCGGGGCTTGAATAAAACAAAAGAAACCAAGGCGAGGTGTGGACGCGCAGTGAGGACCGGAAAGCGAGGCCTGAGAGCTGGCGGCCTGAAAGCGGTCCTGCGTCCTTCACACCCTCTCTCTAAAATCCCCCTCTCTCAAGCGGGCCCTGACCAAGAGTAAAAGCGCAGCCGAGGAGGGAAGGACGCCGCCGCCGCGCAGGCATCCGGGCAGGGACGGGTGGGCGGGAGATTCCGGGCCGCTGTTCAGGGCAAGCGCTAAAAGTTTCCGGGTCCCCGAATTTCTCATTTCTTTATCGAATTCTGCAAAGAAGTAACGTTCCTTCGGCCATTAATATTGTAAGAATGTATCGTTTCTAGCCATAAGTTCCAGGTTACTTTTTGTAAGAAAATTAAGGACTCAAGTAGATCAGCCAAAGAAACCACGTACAGCATAAACTCACGTACCACTCCTTAAAAAAATAATTTATTGAGTTATGACCAAGAGTTATATAAGGGGAGAGGTAACAAATCTTTGGTGAGGAAAAAGCGATGGAAAAAATATTAGAGAAGCATAATTTTGAGGAAATTACATATAGTTTGAAACCACCACTGTTTAATATTTTGACTCGCGATCTGAGTAGGAGAAATGACCAAGCTAGGCTGTTGTTTATGTGATGCCATCTCATTCAGTTCTACCTACTATTTATAGCTCCAACAGCATCAGAAAGAAAAACACATGCCTAGTGGCTAAAGCATTCAAACACAACCCCTTATAAAAAAGTTAAAGTTTGGGTTAATTAAAAAAAATTAATTTCATATTAAATATATATTTTTAGGTTCCAATTTACAGTTATGTAGTTATATATTATCGCAATAAAAAGATCTGCCCATGGACTGGTTTTTGGTTTTGAGACATGTTTAAATTACATCCCTTACAGAGTGCTCAACTTGTATGGGGGTAAATGACTAACATGATGTTATCTACAAGGTTAAAAAGCAAGAATAAAGAACTAACTACATTTTAGGTCAGTTCTTCATCAGAGAAGGAATGTTAAAAATTTATTTCCATCCAATTTATTTTCTAAATATTATTAATTTTCTTAAATAAAACATTTCCTGAACGGCAAATTTGCTTGTTATGTCTATTCCCTCCTTCCTGAAATGACTTTCTCCTATCCCTCTAACAGCTTTGTCTTTTGCTACTTCTTCATCCTCCAAGTTGTGCCAATTTGTTTCACTTTTTATTTATCTTTGCTAAAAGAGAAAGGCAGGGGGCGAAAAAACCCTAAAGGACTTAAGATTTTCAGATGGTTCTAGCTCTAGAAACATAATGGCTGCATATGAAGGGGAAGACAGGAGTCGTCCAGATACACCCAGATTTTCTTTTGGCTTGGTGGGAAGAATGAATGGCATGGTTGTGTCCTCGGCAATTTGACATGCTTGTGGTATATCCGCGGAGGTGACCCGCTGGCAGCAGGAAATACAGGTCATGGCACAAGTTGCAGGAGACTAAAGAACATGGATTCGCAGGCAATTAGATGACAGTTGAGTGAGCGTGGATGACTGAGTTTTATCATAAAAAGGCATCACAAAGGACGATAGAGCCTAAAACAGAACCTTCAGGAGTACCAACATTTAATGGACAAGTTCTTCCCTCCTTCCTTAATGAAAGCAAAAGCCACCAGGCTAGAAATTTTACAATTTCAGAACTGCTTTTTCCTCCAAATCTAGAGAGAAATAGGAAGTGAAACATGGACTCAGGTAACACTAAACAGAACTAAATTTAACTCCTCCAAGCAGTGGCTTTGGAGAAGTTAGACAAGTTTCTTAGCATCTCTGGGCCTCAGCTTCTTCATGTATATGACGACAGTCTGCTCTGATGGTTGTTATGAGAATGAAATCAGCACTTACCAGATGCTGGCTATAAACATCATCTGACCATTCCTGAAATACAGACTAGCCTCCATTCCCATTACCAATGCCTTAACTGAGACTCGCATCTCTCCTCCTAAGCCTAGAATACTGTGAAACTGGTTTCCTTGACACCAGGCTCTTTCCAACCCATTCTCCCTCACAGTGCCCCCAGTGTCCTCTTCAGATAACAGATTTGAACATGTCATTCTGCTTAATATCCCTCAGACCAACAGAACTGGGTCTAGACTTCTTACCTCGGGATAAAGGGCTTTGGAGAATCTGTTCCTAATCTGCCATATGATATCACCCCTTACCTCAACTCATTATTGGAATATGAAGCACCCTGTCATGATTTCTGTGCTGAGCCTACCGTATTTTTTTTCAGCCCTTTATTCATACAGATCCCTTCACTTTCCCTGTACATTTGCCCTTTGAGGTCATGCTTCCAAGTCTTCCCTGACCCCCCATGGTTGGAATGTACTGCACTTTATGTACTACTGCACTGGACTGATAGAATTTTACTGTTGTATATATAATCACATATATGTCTATTTTCCTTTTAACCTCTATGAAGGCAAGGTCCATCCATTGTGAATTTATGTATATTTTCCCACCTGCAAAAATCCATAGAAAAGTTTGCTACAGATTAATTTAGCTACTAAATTTAAGCAGAAATGAAAGAGATGTGCTGGAAACCAGAAATTCTCATACGCCAGAAATCCAAAACTTCAGATTAGTAAACGAAGAGTAAGGCTGAGACCTGAAGGTCTCACATGTAGATGGGTAATAATTTTTGACAAGTATCTCCAGGAAGCAGAGTTTTATCATAAAAAGGAAATAGTTATGCCGGGCACGGTGGCTCACGCCTGTAATCCCAGCACTTTTGGAGGGCAAGGCGGAAGGATCATGAGGTCAGGAGTTCGAGACCTGCCTGGCCAATATGGTGAAACTCTGTCTCTACTAAAAATACAAAAATTAGCTGGGTGTAGTGGCACATGCCTGTAGTCCCAGCTGTTGGGAGGCTGAGGCAGAACAATCACTTGAACCTGGGAAGCAGAGGTTGCAGTGAGCCGAGGTTGTACCACTGCACTCCAGCCTGGGCAACAGAGCAAGACTGTATCTCAAAAAAAAAAAAAAAAAAAAAAGCATACTACTTTTTGTTTAGACATTCTTTCCTACTAAAAACAAGTCAGTTTCCATTTTACTTATTACTTTACTTTTATTTAGAGACATGGTCTTGCTCTGTTGCCCAGGCTGGAATGCCATGGCACTATCATGACTCACTGCAGCCTCAACCTCCTGGGCTCAACCTATCCTCCCACCTTAGCCCCTTGAGTAACTGGGACTACAAGCACATGACACCATGCCCAGCTAATTTTTTTTTTTTTTTTTTTGTAGAGATGGTGTCTCATGTTGCCCAGGCTGGTCTCCAACTCCTGGGCTCAAGCAATCCTTCTGTCTGCCTCAGCTTCCCAAAGTGCTGGGATTTCAGGCATGAGCCACCACACCCAGCCCAGTTTCCATTTTAGAGATGTTTAGGCTCTAGACATTTGCACCACAGCAGAAGGAGCTATGTTGACTTTCAATTTCAAAGCAGATTCTGAGAAGCTATGACATTCTAAATATGAGGCCTTCTTTACTCATGGATTGTCCTAACTACAGGTTTGTTTTCAGATGAATGCAGTCTGGTCTCAGGAAAGACCCCTAAAAAGGTTAAAAAGCAATTACCTAGAGGAATATGAGTTTTTATTTTAGAATTTCAACTAGCACTGCTCATTTGTTACTACTGATGAATTCCTAAAGAAAGATGCTAACTAAATGCCTTAAATCCCTTTGGGAACAAGGTAGTAAGTAAACATATATTTTATAAAATCTAATAGTCATTTAATAGCCAAAACAAACATATTTTATAAAATCTAATAGTCATCTATTAGCCACAACAAACAAACAAAAAGAACATCTTCCTGTGGTCCCCAATAGATGTTTTACTGATTGGAAGTATTACTCTTGAGTAGCTCAGTGAGTATGAATTATTTCCCAATCTGCCTTCCCAAAACTCTCCCTAATCAATAATGTGGCTTTAAAATTTACCAGAATTGTTGATGGATTACCAGAGGTTTCTACACTGGGCAATGACATTTGAAACAAGGGCAATCCACCACTATAACAAGTCCACAGGGAAGGTCCATTCCCTGGGGCGCAGAAGTTGTGTTTGGTGTAGGTTTGTCTAGAGCAACCCTGTCCAACAGAAATACAATCCAACTACATTTGTAATTTACCATTTCCTAGCAGCCACACTAAGCAAAGGGAAACAGGTGGAATTATTTTGATAACATGTTTTATTTGACCCAACATACCCCAAATTTTATCATTTCAACCTTTAAGCAATACAAAATTAATGAGATACAGTAAGTCTTCACTTAACAACATTGATAGGTTCCTTGGAAGGCATGACTTCAAGTAAAATGCCCTACCAGGAAACCAAGTTTTCCATGGGCCAATTGATATAAATAAGAAATAAGACTCAAAATACTTACAATATTAAACATCGAAACAAACGTGAGCTATACATACATTTAAGAAAGATTAGTAAAAATAAGTAATATCATTATTTACCCAAGTATTCCAGTTTGGGTCGCACATGGGCAGAGCCCATCCCTGCAGAGCACAGGCGGGACCCACTCTGGCCAGAATGCCACTCCATTGCAGGGCCACTCACACACCCACAATCACTCACAATGAGACCATGCCGACATGCCAGGTCCCATAACTGGCACATCTTCGGGATGTAGGAGGAAGCTCCACACAGACAGTGGTCCCAGCTGGGAATCGATATTTTTTTTTCTCCTCCAAGTTATAAGGAAACAACATTGAACAAAACAATATTATTCAAGGACTTGCTGTATTTTACTTTGTTTTTAATGCCATGTCTTCAAAATCTGATGTGTATCTTTTACTTGAAGCAGATCTCACTTTGTAAAGTAGCCACAATTCAAGTGCTCAACAGCCACACTGGACAAATCTAGATATTTGGGGTGGGGGGTGGCGATGGTGGCACCTATTTGCAATTGAGTATTGAAGTTTAAAATTACATTGAGGGGGCTCTTTTTTTAAAAACTGAAGACATAATTGCATATAAATGTATCAGTGATTATTGACGTGAAAATACAGCACAAAGCATTAAAAGGGGAAATAACGATTAATACTGAAATGTTTCTAATAATGCAAAAATAGCAGCCAATAGTAATTTGACAGACACTGTCTACAAGCCAGGCTGGCTCAAGTACTGTACTTAAACTAGGCAAATGTCTTCCGAGATAAAAGAACCACTTCTACCAACCCTTCTCCTGAGCAAACTGAAAAGAGTTTCCATTTGTGAGAAGATATCTCCTTACAGATGTATCAAGAGGCTCTGAACCGGTCTAATTTTTGCTGTCTTGAAGGCAATGAAGATGCAGGATTCACATCACAGCTTTGTGTTTCTTTCTGAGGGTTGGGGGATGTATGTAGCAGTGGGGTCGGAGTAATGCTGTGATTGGCACAATGAGGACAGGAGAACATCTACAATTTTACTATCGTGCCAGGAATGAAAGCAGTGAAGTGAAGACAGAATGACAGCAAACGCAGGGTTATACGGTAAGTCAGCACCTGGGAAACTCTGAAGTCAGGAGAACCAACTGCTCCCAATAGAAACAGGCTACAGAAGTGTTCTAACTACAGTGGGTCCCCTTTAGAATAACTCTGATCAGCTCTAGAAGTGTCAAATTTAAAAGTATTATCTTCCTCATGGATCTATCAGAGACAGTCTTCGCACTTTTCTTGAGCAATCTCATTCACACCCAGGAGAATATCAGATATGGCTTCAAATATCAAATATTGTGGTGAATCCCAAATCTGTGTCTTAGTTTCCTCCACCCAAGCTCCAGGACTGACCAGACCTCTCCAACTGCACACTAAACAGTCCCATGAGGATGTCCTTCAAAAACCTTGAATTTAACATGTCAAAAACTAAATTAATTTTCTCTCATCATTCTGCTGATCCCTAACTAACTTCTGTATTGTCAGTTATTGACAAACTATTTCCCAATCTGCCCAAGCTCAAAACTCCGGGACTTATCCATTTCTCCTTGTATTGCTCCAATCAGAAATCATATCCCTGGTGTTTCTTTATATCTCCATCAGGCTCTCATCAACTCTTTATTCTTCAAGTCACAGTTCCGTTCAAACTTACTCCCCAAATATTTTCTCAGTAGCTACGACGTGCAGGGCATTGTGTGAAAAATGCTGGATTAAAAGACACGTGGCATCAAATGTCATCTCGTCTTTCCCAGTCTGATGCCCTCGAGTCAGATTAGCCAGCTGCTCTTCAAAATACTGAGTTATAATAATCTGATTATTTGTTTTTTACTTTAGCCTGCATGTTTCTATAAGATGGAGAGTGGCATATTATTGTGCTATCCTTTTTTTTTTTTTATTCCTGGCATAATACAGAGACTAGTACAGTATTTAGTATACATAAGGTAATTGGTAATTTTTTACTCATCATGCTTTAGTTTACAAAGGAAATTTAATGGCTCTAGATGCCAATCTAAAGATTCATATTTAACTGAAAACTATTGTATTCCTCAAATTTGGAATTCAGATGATCACCCTTCTATCAAAACACTGATTAATTCAATGGTGTTGGTATCACCCCAAACTCTATTGCACATGGTAACTCTGTCATACATCTATAAAGCCTAGTAGCTGTATTGGGTGAGATGAAAAAAACTGCTTATATTCCACAGCAACATAATTACAAATAAGTTTTAACCTATTAAAGTACAGAGTCTCTCTCATCACTTTCAAAGCAGGACCCTACTTACCAATAATTCATAGCATACCTCCCCTTATTTTAAAACTCATATGATAGCTGATTTCCTAACTGTAGCAATCAGGATTCTTAGAAAGAATCGAAACTGAATTTAGCTAACTAAGGAAGCGGATTTCATTAAAAATATTGGATTAGTTTACAGAATCAGTAGTGGAGAACCAGGATTGCATAAAAGGTAAGAACCAAGGGAGACTGGTCAAAAGAAATAATTTGCCCAGAAAGTCACCACCAACAATTCTAATAATGGACACACGATGCTGACAATATTGCTAGATTCCAAAGTCTGTGGAGTTTAATCAGGCAAGAGCTAATGGCTGGCCAAGCCTTAGTCATTAGTCACATGCTCCCTCAGTAGCATCTACGATCTTTGGATTCAGTAGCAGAAAATACATGCTGCGTTTTAAGTTCCATACCTTTCTTTTGTCCCCCAAAGAAAGCAGGTTTATACGCTGAGTCACCAAAAACAAAACAAAAAACACCCAGCAATATTCAAATATTCAATAATGTCATCAAAAATTTCATGATACCCAAAGGTTTTGTGTGTGCATTAGCAATGTACAAAGTCAAGGCACTGATCTTGAGCAAAGCACCGAGTATAAGATTCCCACAGTGCTAGCCTGTGTTACTGAACAGACCCAGGGGGCTGACTCCTTTAATTGATTCTTGCTTGTCACTTCTATTCTGTTCAGGCCTGCCGCTGAATTCCCTTTGTGCTGGTATGTAATTTGGCTATAGTGCAATCAGTTTCTAGTCAGTACAGAAAAAAAGGTAAGTCCATGAGATTGCGTTGCAGGCACCCCTCAACCTTCAGTACACATTCAACCAAAATCTTCCTGTGGTGTTTAATGTGAGTGTTGGATACCAGGGTTATTTTGAGCAAAACACAAAACACACACTGAAATACTTGGCTCGTGACAGATCCTGTTTTCAGTGTTAACTAATCTGGTAAATGCCTTTTAACTAACCCAAGGAAGTAGAGATGAAGCAGTAATAATGCACCTAGCATTTCTTTTTTTATCATTACCTTCAACTGAGGTCTCAACTTCAGGGCACAGCAGTTGCAACACAGAATTCTTTTCCTGCCATCACTCCATCTCACATGAATGGTACTAAGTCCATAGGCTTCAGAGAGCCCTGGATCTAAATGTCATGCAACAGAGGAGGCCACTCCTGGGATCATCTCAGAGGGTAAGGAACTTAGGTTGGGACTGAGCTTTGAAGGCACGAAATGCCTCTGCAATTACTGCCTTCAAAGTGCCTTAGGCAGCACTAGAGCGGCAAAATGGCAAGTTCAAAACTTCATGCCGGCAGGGCGCCGTGGCTCACGCCTGTAATCCCAGCACTTTGGGAGGCCGAGGCGGGCGGACCACCTGAGGTCAGGAGTTCGGGACCAGCCTGACCAACATGGAGAAACCCCGTCCCTACTAAAAATACAAAATTAGCCAGGCATGGTGGCACATGCCTGTAATCCCAGCTACTCGAGAGGCTGAAGCAGGAGAATTGCTTCAACCCAGGAGGCAGAGGTTGCGGTGAGCCGAGATCATGCCATTGCACTCCAGCCTGGGCAACAAGAGCGAAACTTCATTTCAAAAAAACGAAACAAAACAAAACAAAACCTCATGCCATACTTAAAAACCTCACCATGTAAGGTCCCATACCATTCCTATTATTTGCGCACATTTGTTGCTTTCATTGTTAATCTGCAGTATTATTCATAGATCTGAAACGAACACTGGATATTAACAGAGTATAACTTCTTATTTCATAGATGAGGAAAACGGAAGCCAAATAGGATAAATGACTGTCTAAGGTCACGTACAATTATTTGAGGAAATTAGACTAAAGCCTAGGTCTCTTGCCCCCTGGGTGTTACTCTTTGTACTACAGTATACCAACCCAATAATGTCTTCTATTTACAGTTGGCTAGAGTCAACTACTGACAACCAAGGCCAGTTGCATAAAGGCAGCCTCCAGTTAGCCTCCAGTATACCATATATTCACCAAAGGTAGCCCTAATCCTCATCATGTATTCTCAATCTAAGTGACTTTGTTCTTAGTTTACACTTGACTTGTTTGCTGACAATGGAGCCCTCATAACTGCCTTATCGGCCCACTCCCATGTTCTCACAACTGCCTGGTGGACTTCTTCAACATGGACTAACTCATGTCATTGCAGTTTTTTGCCTTTAATTCCACAAATTAAACACAATTATTACGTTATATCATGTTTGTTTGGCTTTACTGTGCCATTCTATCTGTTTACTATTCCATCCTACATCTCAGGTATTCCTTCTGGGATAATTTTCCTTTGTCTTAATTACATCCTGCAGTTCTTTCAGAAGAATTTTAGAGATCTTTGGTAAAACTCCCTCAGCTGTTGTTTAAAATGTGTTCATCTTATCATAATTCTTGAACAGTACTTGAAACAGTCTTGCTAAATTGCTATTTTATAGACATTTATGTGTTTCTTCTGAGTTCCATGGTGTTACTGCCAGTCTATTTCTTTATAGATGAGCTGCGCTTTTTCTCTGGCTGCTTTCTAGACTTTCTCTTTGTCTTTGATGTTCTATAGCTTCGGTCTAGGCATAGATTTCTTATTCACACCTGGAATGCAGTATGCTTCCTGAATCTGTCGGTTCCTTATTATCATAAATTCTGAGAAATAACTGTACCTTTTGAAAAATGCTACACAGGTATCAACCAAAATAAGGTAGTAGAGAAAGACAACAGTAGGAAGTCTTATGGTGCTTATGCATTTAGATTCATTTGTAATAAAAGTCAAATCCTCTGATAATATTCACATTAACACTATACAAAAATAAATAAAATGCAACTACAATTAAACTATGGACCATTATGTCTATTGTGAAACGGTTGTTCATGGACCGTGGTTCATAAAAACATAACTTTCTAAGGAAAGAATTCTTTCCTCAAGACTTTAAAATGAATTTATATCACATTTTCATTTTATACTTCACCATAAAAATTCCCATAGCAGAAAATAATGCAATACTTCACACCAATTAAGCTTTCTTTTCAATTTTTCCACTTAGTTCATTTTAACTAATCAAGGCATAACTGCTACATAATTTGTTTTTGGCTGTAACTACTGACTAAAGGTGTAGAATTCATATGCAAGGGAATTTATCATAGAACTACAATACTTTTTGGACAATTAATTAGAGCTTGAAGGAACTACAAAATCCTCAAATAGCAATCTAATTATCTTGTGTTCATTTTTCCAACTCTTTAAATGTCGATAATATATACATGCTTTAATGACAATATGGAAATCCTTGACCATGATTAGTCACCAAGAGTTTATCATACCTGCACTAAAAACAAAAGGTAAAAGAGAAAGTAGAACAAATGAAAAGAAGTACAGAATGCTTTCTCCATTCAATTTGCCCATTCTACACCCCCTCAAAGCAAAACCAAAAAAACTTAAAAAACACACACCATAGGGAAAAGGAAAAAAAGAAAAACTATGAGAGGTGTCCTGGCCTTCGGACCAGGCTGTTGCAGTTAACTGCATGACTCATGTCTCTTTTCCTTCGTTAAAAAGTTAAACTAATAATTCCCTATGATAGTTCTATTAGTGATCACAATCTATAGATTTCCTACAGAAGGAAAAATAGGAAAGTAGCAATTTCATAGCTAAAAACAAAAGAGGTCACACCTACTTTCTTATCGTGAAGGATTAAGCACTAGAGAAAGATTTTTCAGTTTCACACATGCAAAATTTCAATTTAGATAAATTGACACAAGTTGCTTTGCCTAAACTGAAAAGAAGTCTTGCTACATGAGAACAGTTAAAAACAACAACAACAAAAAACAAAACAAAACAAAGCAAAAAAAAAAAACAGGCCGGGCATGGTGGCTCACGCCTGTAATCCCAGCACTTTGGGAGGCTGAAGTGGGCGGATCATGAGGTCAGGAGATGAGACCGTCCTGGCCAACATGGTGAAACTCCGTCTCTACTAAAAATGTAACAATTAGCTGGGTGTGGCAGTGCTTGCCTGTAATCCCAGCTACTCGGGAGGCTGAGGCAGAAGAATCGCTTGAACCTGGGAGGTGGAGGTTGCAGTGAGCCAAGATCAGCCACTGCACTCCAGCCTGGCAACAGAGCTAGTCTCCATCTCAAAACCAAACCAAAACAAACCAAAACAACAACAACAACAAAAAAAAAAAAAAAAAAAAAAAAAACAGGCAATGCATAAATGTTAACAAAATTAGACAGAAGCCTAGAATTTTACTGATCAGGAGTAAATAATAGCTCGGCCCTATTCAAGATTACCCAAAGATAGAGAAAAACAAAAACAAAACCCCTGAGTGAAACCAGTGAATCAGTGGTATAAGTGTGATCACTTTAGGTTCCCTCATATTGCTAAGAAAATCCAAACAGTTCACAATATTTAGTTTTAGAAATTCTCTTCTTATTCTAGATTTCCCTAACACTCTTTCATATGAGAAGGGGTAAGAGCTACTAAAAAATTGCTTCATAAAGAGCAGAACTTCACAATCTTTTGTAGAGTCCTGGAACACAGGTTGGCTATATTACATCACATTCTTCACTCAAGGGGTGGGTCAAACCATGGGCTGTGTAGGTGACAACCTGTGTTCAAATCCTGGCCCTACAGGGATTCTACTTAAGACTTACTTAACCTCTCTGTGCCTTGCTGTTCCACCTCTACAAACAGGTGCCATAGAAGTAACTATATAGCACAGAGATGTCATAAGGGACTTGACAAATAAATGCATATAAAACACTTAGAAAAGCATATTAACAAATATGAATATTACCACTATCAATTAAACATTAGTGAAATGTCTCAATTGATGAGCATTTTGCGTCATATTAGCTATGACATTCACAAGAGTATGTGCTGCTCAGATAAAGCTTTTATATCTAATATAGTAACATACAATAAATACTTGTTGAATGAAACTATATATGCAGAACCCAGTCTAGAAACTACACTTGTCTCTAATCAACTCCTTTCAACTAAGAGAAATGTACTTTCCATATTCAGTACTATCACCTAGTTTAGGGCCAACTTTTCCGCTATTCTGTCTGTTTCCTAACTGGCCTCCCTGCCTCTAGTCATCTCTTCCAGGTCATTGAGAGAAGAGTTCCTCATACTAACAGCCTTGTGCGTATCACTTCTCTGCTCAAAAACACTGACTTGCACGCCATTACCACCTTGAAGCCTCACTTTCCTTACTGCACCTCCATTTTACTCAACACAGAACTACTGTGTTTTCCAGTGAAATCTTGCAGTTTTTCATCAACACTTATAGTTTCCTACAAATGACTGTGAGCACTACTGTCTCTGTAGCTGATGGCTGCTTCAGTTCAGTAACCAGTGGGCTTCCTTCTCCTAAACCCTATATGAAGAATATCTTAAAGGCCAAGCACAGAGGAATGACTGGTATTTACAAAGAAGCCGATTATTTTATTATATGAAGGGTTGGCCTAAAAGCTAACCCAGTGAATTATTGACCTTCTTCGAGATTGTCTGTAACTAAACTATATTCTTAAAGGAAGCCCAAACATCTTAACACTGGAGGCAGTTGGCAGTAGTTGGGAAGGTGGGTGTGCTAGCGTCAAACTGAAACCTGCCAGCTCCCAGCACCACCACCCATTACAAACTGTGAGAGCTCAGACAAGTCACTGTCAGGATGACCAGTGAAGGACCCATGCTGTCATCTGAGCGCCGCCCCCCTCCCCCGCCGATCCCGTACCCAGAGGTCTCTTCTACAGAGAGATGGGTATCAATACTGCTAAGTGAGCCATGCTTGGTAAGGCCTCCCACCACCTCCCACCCAACTCAAAGTCACATTTGCCTAAAATCCTTCCAACTAATAGGGAATGCAGTAATGAAAAATCGCAATCACAGTGATTAGGTGTCCAAGTCAGAGAATGATGTCTGAGTTAAGCTGAAGAGATCAGGGTGCAAATCCATGTTTTTTAACCCCCTAAATGGACTCTGAACCGGAGCCTTTGAAGACAGAAGATAACAGTAACTTTGGAATGAGGGAATGGCTTTCAATAATACTTAGCAGCATGGAGGTTAAAAGGGAAAGATTACAGGAGGTCCCTAGAGTAGTCAAATTCAGAGAGACAAAAAGTAAAATGGGGTAGCCATGGCTGAGGGAATGAAGAGTTAGTGTTTACTGAGTACAGAATTTCAGTCTGGAATGATGAAAAGACTTCTGGAGATGGATGGATGGTGGTGACGGCTACACAGCAATGTGAATGTACTTAATGCCACTGAAATATGTGTGCTTAAAAATCGTTGAAATGGTAAACTTTATGTTATGTATATTTTACCACAACAAAAAAGGGGGAAGGAAAGGGAAGGAAGGAGGAAGAGAGGGAAAGTAAGAAAAGGAAAAACAAATCTATGCATCTCTGTAATAGCACTTATTTGCCGAATTTAAATGTTTTGATGAAGCTCTTTGCTTAATTTAAACTTTAAAAAGTTTTTAAAACTTAGGGCTTCCTAGGCTGGGCGCAGTGGCTCACGCCTGCAATCCCAGCACTTTGGGAGGCCGAGGTGGGCGGATCCCGAGGTCAGGAGATCGAGACCATCCTGGCTAACACGGTGAAACCCCGTCTCTACTAAAAAATACACAAAATTAGCCGGGCATGGTGGAGGATGCCTGTAGTCCCAGTTACTTGGGAGGCTGAGGCAGGAGACCCCAGCCTGGGTGACAGAGTGAGACTCTGTCTTGGGGAAAAAAAAAAAAAAAAACAACTTAGGGCTTCCTTAACTATTGCTGCAAAAATTCCTATGGAACTTCAAAAACACTGATGTTCCACAAATTTTTCTTTGCAATTATCTTCTTACAACAACTCTCTGACTCATTTCTTATAATTCTCTACTTTCTATTTTAATATTTCAAATTCTAGTGCTCATCCTTCCCGCTGTGTCTATGTGTGCACGTGCAAATCTGTAACAGAAGCTAAATGGTTCGCTTTAAATTAACAAAACATTGCCAAAATATGTAGAAAACATTAATGTATTTAAAGAAGAGCTTTAGAGTGCCTAAAATCGTTGACCCTAGTCTGGCAGCAATTTTCAATACTTATTAAACAATTAAAGAGCAGAAAAGAATAACATTTTGGGATTCTTTCTCTTCATTATGAAAGTAATATAAGTACAAATACAGAAAACTTAGAAAACTAGGGGAAATTCCTGAATTTAAATTTAACATTAAAAAGCATTTTTCTACCTTCCTGAAAGTTTTAGTAACAATTATCTTTAGTCTCAAAGAATTTCCATTTGAAGGCATGTGCGGGAATTCATTAAATTACGTCCCTTCCATGAGTCCTTCAGGGGTGTTTCCAATTTTTCAGTTGCCTAAATAAGATACCAAGGAATGCCTTTATACACACAGTTCTCCCATGTCCCCAACATTTTGGATTATTTCCTTAGGAAAGATTCTCAAAAGCAGAATTACAAAGTTAAAGGATGGGACCATATCATGGTGCCTGATAAACTTTGCGTGTCTGTGTGTGTGTGTGTACACACATGTGCCTAGAATACACAGCATTTTTTCTTTAGCAAACTGATAACATTTCCATTTAAGGAAGAGTAATTTAGGATTACTTCCACGTGAAAAAAGACAAAAAATTTCTGGTAAGTAAACTTTCTTGTGAATAAAGTCTCCTTTTTCCATTCTGAAATAAAAATATTCAATTTAGAAATTGCAGCTGTGTGCTGAAAGCTTCTTCACAAAAAATGATAACAGTGCAGGCTCCTCTCTGGTCTATGAAAACACTACATACTGCTCTGAGTATCTGCAGCAAAGTAAAGTATCTCTTCCTTCTGATTACACATTTCTTGTTGACATCATTCCAATGATAAAAAACCTAAAGAAGTTTCCTAATGGTTAATAACTGAAATAAATTAAAACTGTGTGTTTACTGGTAACTAGGTTAGTTATTAAAAACGTTCTCCTAGGCATATGCAAATGATGGCTGCTTAACTGGTACTGCTCTCTAATGACATCTCTATACTGTAGTGATATTTTATAAAACAATATAATTTCAACCTTATGCTACAATTCTTTGAATATAATTTCTCTCTTCAGAATGGCCATTTTGTTGCCCCAGGAGGGAGGTGGGGGAGGACCTAACACAGTATTCCACATGCACCATGTCACATCAGGTTACTCTTATCACCAGTATTTCCATAAAATGGCTTGCAATACACTGAAGCTCTGATATAACATTATCAATCAACAGATTGTGTGAAACTGCCCATCAATGACAGAGCTCAGAGATGGTTCCAGATGGTCTCTAGATCTTAGTTCCCTGAGGTAAGAATATGTGCTGTCTGTTTCCCTAACAGTGAGATCAGATAGCACTGAACTTCCACGGAATACCAAGGGCAAAGGAGTCTATCTTGCCTGGATCTCTCAATGGGGGGTGTTGTGGGGTGGCAAGAATAAGAAGGGGAATAGAAGGAAGGGCAAGGGAAGACAGAGAGAAAAGAGGGAGAAAACGTGAATATATAAAAGCCTCTTAAAATAGCAATGTCGCTATGGCATACATTTCCAAAGCATAAGAAACAAAGTCAAAAGCTATTAATGGAAAGCGACCCCAGAGAGTTTTAAGTTCAGGGAGTTAGGAGGTAGCTGAGGAGACAGAATATGGTGAAAAAGGTAGAAATGCAGGCCAAACTTCTAAAAAGCATTTTTAAAAGATCTGAAGTTATTTTGTTAGTTTATGAACTTAAAATGCATTATGTTAAATTCCTCTGCTCATAAACTTTACGGTATTGGGATGTGGTGAGTAGAACGGAGATCGGGGAGGAACTGCCATTGCTCCTTTCAAAGTTCATGAACAAATCACTAACAGAAGTCCTGTGGAGAAAGAAGTTTTACCAATTCGGTTTTCTTACTTGCCTACTCTGGGCTTTTCATCTTTAGCTACAACTTAACTATTCTCCTTGGCAACCCAGTAAGTATTGTCATTTTAGGTAAAAATAAATCTTTTGTGTTAGAAATGCCACTACATAAGGGCCTGGCACGGTGACTCACGCCTGTAATCCCAGCACTTTGGGAGGCTGAGGCAGGCAGATCACAAGGTCAGGAGTTCGAGAACAGCCCGGCCAATATGGTGAAACCCCATCTCTACTAAAAATACAAAAACATTAGCTAGGCATGGTGGCCCATGCCTGTAATCCCAGCTACTCAGGAGGCTGAGGCAGGACAACTGCTTGAACCCAGGAGGTGAAGGTAGCAATGAGCCAAGATCCCACCACTGAATTCCAGCCTGGGCGACAGAGCGAGACTCCATCTCTCCAAACAACAACAACAACAACAACAACAACAACAACAAAAAACAGCCTGGCCAACATGGTGAAACCCCGTCTCTACTAAAAATACAAAAAATTAGCCAGGCGTGGTGGTGCACACCTGTAGTCCTAGCTACTCAGGAGTCTGAGACAGGAGAATCTCTTGAATCCGGGAGGTGGAGGTTGCAGTGAGTCGGGATTACGCCACTGTACTCCAGCCTGGACAACAGAGCAAGGCTCATCTCAAAAAAAAAAAAAAAAAAAAAAAAAAAAAAAAAAGAAAAAAGAAGAAGAAAAAGAAAAAAGAAATGCCACTACATGTGAAAAGTACACACACAAGAACTAGAGAACCAATTAAATTCTTTCTAACATTCACTGCTGAAAAGTGACATAATTATAAGCAATATGGTACAAAGTGTGTACTTTCCCAACACCCTCCCCTAACACCGGCAATAAAATCACTCCAGCCTCAAGGGAAGCGCAAGTGGTGAACACAGCCAAGTCCAAGTGCACGGCTGTTCCGAACACATTTCTAAATTTAAGGTAACTATCATTTTGGGGGGAGTTCTTATAAAAGAGACCAACTTTACCTTCTGAATTACAATGTATGTTTTAAAATTTCAAAATCTGTGAAATGAAATTAATATTTAATCTCCTTCCATGGCCCCAGTGTTCTTCGAGCCTTTTTCTCAAGAAATTACACTTCGGAAAATCAAGCAAAATTATGGTATTTTATCACTTAGATCTCTAACATGTGTTCACAGGAAGAACAAAATGGCTTCATTTAACATTTCAGGGCTGCAAAATGATTTCACTTGCTAAACACTTAGCAAACATATAATTTACAAGGCAGTATTAGAGTTCAAGTTCTTTTTTGGCCTATATTTAATTTCCCAAATTTAAGACATTTCCATGGAAAACATCGTAGCATGTGCCCTAATGTTAATCAGTAGCTCTTGGATTTTAAACAGATAAAAGGCAGAGATAAAAGGCTCACACCTGTAATCCTAGGGTTTCGGGAGAACGAGAGGATTGCTTGAGGTCAGGAGTTCGAGACCAGCCTGGGCAATATAGCCAGACCTCATCTCTACAAAAAAAATTTGTGGTGGTATTGTTTTTTGTTTTTATTTGTGTTTGTTTGTTTTGACACAGGGTTTTACTCTGCTGGCATGCACCACCACACCGGGCTAATTTTTGTCCTTTTTGTAGAGATGGGATTTCACCATGTTGTCCAGGCTGGTCTTGAACTCCTGGGCTCAAGCGATCCTCTTGCCTCGCCTTGAACTCTCGGCCAAAGTGAAAAAAAAAAATTTTTTTTTAATTATCCAGGAACAGTCATGCGCACCTATAGTCATAGCTACTTGGGAGGCTGAGGCAGGAGGACTGTTTCAGCCAAGGAGGTCGAGGCTACAGCAAGCTATGATGGTGCTACTGCACCCCAGCCTGGGTGACAGAGCAAGACCCTAACTCTTAAAAAATAAATAAATAAGAAGACTCGATGTTACTTAATTTAGCTGCCATTAACACTTCACTGTAAGTAGTCCATTCCCTTTTGAGGATGAAACAAAAAATGACCTTGCTCCTTTTCCCATGTACCCTTCTCCAGGCAGATAAGCCCAGTCAGAAAACCAGGTATCTCCCTGACTCCCTTGCCTTTACAGCCATACATTACAAGGCCTGTGGATCTTCTTGCTTTTCTTCACCTCTACTGTCACTGCCTAAATCTAGACCACAATAATCTCAATCACAAATGTCTATAATTTCTCCTCTGGCAGAGCCCCCATGTAAGGCTGTCCGGGATGTACAGTACGAGGTAGGGGCCAGGCATTCACATGATGCTCCCTCACCCTCTGCAGTACCCAACCTCCATGGCTGTGTTGTCCATACACAAAATCCTCCAAGAGCATCCTTAGCTCCAGTCTGGTCCCTTCCAATCCATTCTCCACATGGCAGTCAGGAAGATCTTTCTGAAATTCAAGTGTACTCAGATCATGTCCCAGGCGAAAATAAAATCTCTTTCCAATGGCTTCCTCTTGCTCTTAGGATCAAGGCTAACCTCCTCACAGGAGCTTCAAAGCCCCTCTGTGATGGGGCCCCAGCCTTTACACTCCCCACCATCCTCCCGGCCTCCCACTTCCTACACTTCTTTCCCTAATGGATGCTGCTTTCCTTGGAATTCCTGGAATACACCATGCTCTGGCATGTTTCTGGTCTCAGCTGTCTCCTCTGCCTACAGTCCTCTTCTCATTCTCATGCCTGGCTACTGTCCTTCAAGTCTAAGATGTCACTGAGATGTCTTCTTACTTAAGAAAAGATTAACACTGTTTTCTACATAATCCTGTCTATCAATTTGCATTTTACCTGCAAGATGTTCTCTCCCACTAAATTATAAAGTAACATGAGGGCAGGTCTGTTTCCTGTTCATTACTGCAGCTTCACTTATAACACAGCAGATGCTCAACAAAAATGGGCTGAATGAAAGATCAAATTAACAGTTTCAGGCAGACTAAATTAAAATACTCCAGCAACTATTTAGCAATTCTAAGAAATTATTTTAATGTTTTTAAGGCATTTCCCAAGGACAAATGTATCACAACCATAAAATAGATCATAAAATAGAATGAGGAGGCCTCAGGAACTTGGAAAATGCAATGCAGTGGCTACACAGTTAAGTTTGTTTCCTTTGTATAAATGCAAAGCAGGTTTGTGTATTACAAGTGTCAACTTTGTATAAGAATAAATTTAACATATGGAAATTTTTAGTCCTCTCACAGATTTAGAAGGCTTTTAGAATCCACAGGTTAAAGGAGAAGCCTCCAAACTAAAACAGTAAGCAGAGAGTAAAGATAACATAAAGATAACTTTGGGAGAAATTCTTTTCAAAATTGGAGGTATAGAGATGTGCAAAATGAACACAAAATGATAAAGTTTAAAAAATACCATGTTTAACTTTCAAAGTTAAACATTTATCTCAAGATATCAAGTTGTATCATAATTATGAAATCTATTTCTCATCCCGACTTGGCAATCAGGAAACAGGAGGAACTTTTCTAAGTTCTAGTTACTAAATTAAAGCGAATATTTATTTCTACCATACTTTGCAATTGAGAAAGCAATTTGAAATATACTATCCCAGCTAATATACAGCAACCCAATGTCACAGGCAGAGCAGGAGCTGTGTGGACACATTTTCATTCACTGCACGCCTTCTCAATAATACGAGGCACCTCTGGAAACGAGCAGCGTGGGGAGCCCTCGCCGCCTGCTGTTGGTAAGGTGTGCGACCTATCGCCAAAACTCAGTCCATCTCTCCTCCGGCCGAATTCCTGGGGGATTCCAGGAGACCACCATCTCCCCTTTGCCACCTGCCATAGGCTCCACCTTCTCAGAATCTAAAAGCTGAAGTAATGAGTCAATCGGCCAAGGGCAAGGAGGGGGACAACTGCATCTTAAATGCTTATAAGCCCAGGAATACAAAAACTTCCACTTTCTCATTTTGTTTTCTGTTTTTGTCAATATAAATAAAAACCCACATATAGCTCAGATGTAGTACTGCGTAATATATCAAACAAGGTCCCCTGGCATTTTAAATGCTCAATAACAAATGTCTGCTGCATTCTTTTGGGACCTTCAATAACTTAAAACAGGGAGACCATGAAGTAGCTGCTTCGATGGTTGGTCTCAGGCTCCTCTCCCCTAGAAAGGAGACGTCGGACGAAATGTGTAAAGTGAACCAGAACCTCACGTCATCTGCAGCTGGTCAGAGGACGGTTCAGATGAAAGCCTGCACTTCTCATATTTATCCAGGTAGACTGAGGGGGACGTGACAGAGACTGAGCTCCGAATTAACACAGATTCGATCTCGGCTCCACTACTCGTGAGCGATCCCTCTCGGAGCAACAGTTCCTTCACCTTCAAAATGAGACCATTTCAATCTGGGTGCTGTGGCAAAGATATCTTCGAAAATGAACCTAGAATACAGCATGTGCTCAGCCAGGCATCTTCACCTACCCCGTTTCCTTGCTGCATGCCTTAAGAGAACAGCTTTAGAGATTAAATGTGTTTCAAATTCTGAAGGAATTGATAGCTATAAAATGTATTCTAGAGCATTTAAGATGCCATGAAATGTTGCCACAACAGTCATTTCTAACCTGGGCATGCTTTATTAGAAATGAGTGTTTAGGCCGGGCACAGTGGCTCATGGCTGTAATACCAGCCCTTTTGGAGGCCGAGGCAGATGGATCACTTGAGGTCAGGAGTTTGAGACCAGCCTGGCCAACGTAGTGAAACCCCATCTCCACTGAAAATATAAAATTGTAGCTGGCCGTGGTGGCGCACACCTGTAATCCCAGCTACTTAGGAGGCTGAGGCACGAGAATCGTTTGAACCTGGGAGACAGAGGTTGTACTGAGCCGAGAACGCACCCCTGCAGCCTGGGCAACAAAGTAAGACTCTGTCTCAAAAAAAAAAAAAAAAAAAAGAATAATTAGAAATGGGTGTTTAGAAAGGGTGTAAATCCATCATAATTATTGGAGGAATCACTCACTCTACCCCCAAAATGCTGGTGGGAAAATGTAAGAACATTGTTCCACATCCATATAGCATGCTAAATACCAAGTAAATAATTACATGTGAAATTAGGATTTTAGGATTAGTCCTATAATTGTTTTCAGACTACAAAATATGACACAGTATTTTACAATATTTCTTTTCAATTTGTTTTTGGTTCATAGTACACAGGATGTTTTTACATTTACTTTACTGTTCTCACATCCCCATCACAAAGAAATAGATATAAAATAGATCTCCATTTGATAACTAAGATAAGTTTCCAGAGGCAAAGCAGCCTACTTCCCTCTGGTTCACAGTGATTTTTCTGGAGTGCTATTCAGAAACATGGCAAAGAAGCCTGCAGACTCCAGTCAGCTTTAGAATTCATTCAAGGAGGGAGACTCTGGCCCTGGTTCCCTCCCTCTCCAGCCTCCCAGGACGCATCTCCAGTTTCGTCCCACCTGTTCCTGTAGCAGGGCCTTCTCCTCAGCCATCCTTCTACCCAGAATGCTCTCTTGTCAAACCCTTGCCTAGGTGGCTCCTTCTCCTTCAGATTTTAGTTGCAGATTTATGTCCTCCACCAGGTTGTCTTCTCTGACTGCCCAAAAGAAATCAGCCTCCCACTCACTCACTCACTCCATGTCACCATATTTCACTCTATGCACAGCAAGCATGTCTTTCTGACATTATCTTTTTAACTTATTGGTTGTCTTTCTCTTCTAGAACACAAGCTCCCTGAGAGCAGCAACTGTGATTTCTAACCTGGGCATGCTTTATTAGAAATGGGTGTTTAGGCCGGGCATGGTGGCTCACGCCTGTAATCCCAGAACTTTGGGAAGCCGAACAGTGGAATTGTTTTTCCATTGCTGTGTTCCTAGTGCCTCAAAGTGTGCTGGCACTGAGAGGCAGGCAGGTCCTAAATATCTGTTGAAAAGGTGAGCTGCTGACGGGGCTCAGCAGCACCTGCATGCTCACGTACCCAGACAACACAAACACACACGCTTCCTAACAGACCACCCTGCTGCCTGTGTTTCTTAAGGCTCTTCATCACTAGCATCAGTGTGGGAAACCAATGGCAACAATGGAAAAGAGAGTGACAATGTCTTGAACCCCCATGTGACAGCAGCTCTTGTTTTGTATTTGCTGACTGCAACAATAATAGTGACTGCTTTATTGGGCCTTTAAGTGCCAGGGTCATACCCTGGCTCCTCTAACCTTTTGAAGAGCCATTGTTACAGAGGGATTGTGACCTTCGTTTTATACATGAGGAAATTATAATTCACAGAAATCAAGAATCCTTTCCAATGTCACATAACTTGTATGCACAGTTGGGCTTTATCTGACTGATTACATGCTGTTAACCAGCATATCCCAAGGATAACTAGTTAATATGAAGGTTTTAAATGAAATCCTAATGTACTGACCATTACAGTAAATTCCTACACTGGAAAGCAGCTGTGCCTCATACGTAAGTACAGGACTCATGGCGCATCCAGTCTCCAACCTAGTGTGACTGCAGCACCGCCACAGCCACCAGGGTTGAAAGTCACTGGCCCAGAAGGTTTGAGGACATGTCACATGAAGCTAAAGTCACCACTGAAGAGAGAAACATATAAACTTCCCCCTCTCCCACCTTGCATTCCTTCCAGTAGCTCTGCTGATTTAACTTGGAATGTGTTCTCACACCAGTGAAGCCTGCTCAAAAGGCTCCACGGTATTTTCTCAAGGGCCGCGTTCCACCATAATTGGAGGAAAAGAACGCTTTCTTCCTCTTTTCCAGGCAGAATAAATACAGCTTGGAGTTACCATTTTATCACAGAATAGAGGCCCAGAGAAAATGCAGTTGTTGATTTTCTCCCTACTATTGTTAAACAGACCAATTTAGACATGAATAAAGAAATGTAACTTTCATGTGTGGTGTTGCTTCCATCGCAGCTCCCCGCTCAACAACTGAGCTGGAGAAAGCCAATCTCCAGCCTCAGGATGAGTCCACTGGTGTGAGGCTGCTGTCGGCTGCACAGCCACTGTCAGCTCGCAGCAGTCATTCCTCGTGCCCCTTCCACCTCTTGGAACTTTTCTCAACTTCTTTCAAAAGAGAACAAGAGCCAGGCGCGGTGGCTCACGCCTGTAATCCCAGCACTTTGGGAGGCCGAGGCGGGTGGATCACGAGGTCAGGAGATCCAGACCATCCTGGCTAACACGGTGAAACCCTGTCTCTACTAAAAATACAAGAAAAAATTAGCCGGGCATGGTGGCACACACCTGTAGTCCCAGCTACTCAGGAGGCTGAGGCAGGAGAATCGCTTGAACCTGGGAGGCAGAGGTTGCAGTGAGCCAAGATCGCGCCACTGCACTCCAGCCTGGGTGACAGAGTGGAAACTCTGACCCCCGCCCACCAAAAAAAAAAAAAAAAGAGAGAGAGATCAAGATTGGGAGAGGGGAGCAAAACAGAAAAGCTAGATCTAGGCACACTCTACTGTCATATCACGAACATCTTCAGAGTTGCTTTCTATCCATACCAAGAAGCACAGATGCAAGGACTGCAAGCCCGCACAGCACCCATAATCCATGCTCTGGAGTAGTCACGATGACGAGGTTCCTCTTAAGCGTTAAACGGAAAGAGGTAAAATAGACCCCATATTATTGTCCCATAAGAATTTATTTGCACCCATTCTTCTAACATTTATAAACACTTTTCTAGTATTCACATTTGCAGATAAACAATTCCCTGGGATAATGATGTCTTTATGCTTATAGTTTATTTTGTGTAATTGCAGTCTTCCAGTAAATCTTTCAGAAATAATATATGTATACAGAGTTTCACGCCAATTCTTAATAGGAGAATCTTTAGATATTCAAATGCATTCCTTTATGCTAATGTAAACTTAAATATAAAGTTCTAGAAATGATGGTTCTTGTGGAAAACAGTATGGTATGGTGGAAATAACAGCAAAAAAAAAAAAAAACAAGTTAAAATGCAAGTGTTTAAATCTCAGCTCTACTACTTCCCACCTGAACTTTGTAAATAAGAATTTCTCTACATCTGTTACTTCTTACATAGAGAGGATAAACATGCCTACCATGTTTACCTCTTGGTAATTGTAAATATTTAATAAGATAATAAGAGAAAACATCCCGAAAGCTATAAAGTGCTATTCAAAGGTAAGAATTCATGACAGTGACGATATAAAGAATTGTTATTTCAATACTAAAGTAAAAAGGATGCCACATGTATAATTACAATACCTAGACATTTATTTACAGAATAGGAAATAGACTGAAGAGCTGTAACACAGAGTGCAGGGTTTTTGCACAGACATGAGAGGAATTCTGTAATATAATCGCAAACTTCTATGGTTTCTTCAGATGCATCAAGTATCCAACCTCTAAATTCTGTCAAAGAGGAACAACATCATGTTTATACAAATAACTAATGTAACATGCATGGTAAATCACAAATTTTAAGACCATCAATTTTATATCTATTTTGGTGTTTCCCATAGACCACATCCATTCACGGGTACTTGTGAAAATAATATGTTTAAAAATAATTCCTTGGAGATTGAGAATTTATGTCTTAAGTAATGCTAAAAATCAGGTTTACTAGGACAAATTCACCAGACTGCATACCATACTCTCTATGAATAACACACGTTTTTTTCCCTTCTCAACATCAAATATCATATTTTCTCAGAAACTTTTAAGTCGTAGATTAAAAGATTATCATGGCTATCTACTAACATGAACAATTCAGGCAAATGTGTGATTTAAAAAACAAAACATTCAATCAGTCAGGCTGCTGATTTTAATTTGGACATTAACGCAATTGTAAAACTGCAATTCCAATTCCCAACATTTATTAATTGTTATACAGCAAAAATCTAATTTAATATGAGGTATTAATATGGGTTAAAATTCACATTCTTTTTTTATAAAACTTGATAAAACTTCCAAAAAAACCCAAAATGCAGCACAAGAGTAGTATTAGTAGGCTTAATACCCTCTGTCTCTAAAGTACTCCACAATCTACAAAATACTTTTACATATTTTGATCTATTACTTATTTTTGGTTTCCATAACAATGCATTGAGGGTATATATTATCCCATTTTGAAGAGAAACAAATGGAGGCCCAGAGACAGAGCCATGACTCACCTTCTGGTTCAGTACAATTTCTTTCCATGTTATCATCCTATCTCTAACCAGGCACACCATGAAGGTGGTAGGTTGTTGAGGATGCCTTTACAAGATTCCCTTTCAGAGGGACTGGGGACATTTCAGAATACTCCGTCCCATCTGGTTGCCCTAGAGTCTCATCAAGACATGACCTCGCTGCAGGAAAAGAAATCCTTACTTGAGTTAGAGCTCAGCTCTGAAGCCATTCCTTACAGTTTTTGCGAACACCTGCAGAGAGAACCTAATAGCAGCATCCAGCCTGTGGCTTAGATTACTCCTTACCACCCAAGCTTTTGAAAAAAATTAAGAAAAATTAAGATTTTGGAGGATAGAAGATATTTCTATTATTCACACAGTGCTTGAATTTGCTACAGAGTCAAAGGATTTAGCCCTTACTGTTGAAGAGTTTAAAGATTTAGGGGAGCTAAAATATAAGCATTCCAATTTTGTGTGGGGTCCTGAGGTTTTTCCGCAGCTTATATCACAGGGAGAGAGGACTCTTCTCATCACTCAAGTGAATTCTTTTTCTATAGGGTTGCCAGATTGAGTAACATGTCCTATGTAATATGTTCCATGTAATATATAAGACGCATTTAAGCTAGGAAATTATTCCTTGTTTATCTGAAATTCAAATTTAACCGTGCGTCCTGTATTTTATCTGGTAATTCTACTTCCACATCAATGACATGAAACACGTTACTAGGCTGCAGATTCTCCATCTCATCTGGTGATAGCTTAATAGCAGCTGGTACAGCACTGACGATAATTGAATATTTGGGCACTCTGTCACTAAGCACATCTTCTCACTTGCACTTGTCCATGTCAGTGAAGTCTAGAAGCTCAAAAAGGTTACTAAGTAGCAGGCTTGAGGATCTAGTCCCAAATTGTTCAGTTCCTAGTACAGTACCCTGGGCTTGGAGCAAAACAGATACTTAGAATACACTATATGACCACATGGTTTTCAGCAACAAATACTTAATCCTTGGAAGGCAGCCTGCTCAGAAGAGTTACCAAAACTCTCCTACTTATTCAAGACAATCTCTGTCCATAAAGAATTCTAATCAGCAGGTTCCTAAGTCAGGACACTGTACAGGTCCTTTGTAAAAATAAGGTTCAGGTCAGCTATTTAAAATTGCTACCTTCTCTTTGGCTCCTTTTGTACCTTTCAGGTAAACAGAGTTCTTTTCAGTGAGAAGCAGTGAATAAGAAAAGAAAATGAAATTCACTTTTCAGGGGCTCATTCGTACGTCACCTCAGGCTTCCTACCGTCTGTCTTCAGGTACACCTGGAGTCCTAAGCCCGGGAGAAGAGGGCACAGCCCCACTTCCTCTGGTACCAGTAGGGCCCTCTTCAGAGACAGACGTGCCTAGGAAGGTGCAGGTCCTCCTCTGCTGAAGATCCTCACATTCCAGGGGTGCAAGAGGGGCCCCTGCAAAGTCAGTCTGCTCAGACCTAAGTCTTGGTAAGTGGCCCTGACTCTTCTGCCCTCAGTCCACCCAGCCCCAGCTGACAGGGGAGGACAGTAAGAATAACCCAACCGTCATGTTCTGGCAGGCACTGGTGCATGGCTGGGAGAGCTAGTGACACCGTGTTCAGGGTAAGAGAACCTCTCCAGGCACTCCTGTGAGGGCACACCGGGACACAGAGACCACTGGTCTGTCCACTGGTGGAGGACAATCCTAGGCAGCCCTGGGCTGGACTGAGTCTTCTGTCTGGTCTTGGACAGGTTACTAAATGTCACTGACACTGGAGGGAACCGTTGAGAATTGGAGGCAGAGCACAGGGGATGGCCCAGATCAGGTTGCCCATAATGGGCGTGCGTTCACCCTACAGACTTAACATATGTTTTCAAAATAGTTTTGCTTTTTTTTTTTAAGCTGCCTCTGATTATCCAGGAATGAGGACTGGTTTTTACCTAGGAAAAGCATTTTATAAAGGTATTTTTTTTTGTATATTTGTTTTAAGTATCATTTCCTCCTTTTGGAGGAAGTAAATCAATAACGGAGCCTCGTAAATTCTTCTATGGAGATCCGGAAACAATCAGAGGGCGTTCTCTGGAATCTAAACTGCTGAGAGAGTATGCTGGAAGCTTTAAAACCCATTAGCGCTTTCTGCATTAAGACTGTCTGCCACCTATGTATACAGTCAGATCTGACTGAAAATGGCTTGTTATTGAAAGAGAACGCAGACCCACATACACGGTAAACAGAGTTCAAGGATCTACAGGGACTGTAAATAGGTGACCCATTCTAACCCTTCATTAAGGGCAAAAAACTTTTTAAATCAGTCACTATTTCTACCCTCACTGCATCAAGTATTCTTAAAATGTACTTATGGAAAAAGCAAGCACAGAAATCATGAACAAAAAAAATGACCAAAAGTTTAAAAATGTGCATCTCAATTTCTACATACCTGACAAACTTCACGTTCCTACATAATGCTTTCTGTTATGGTACAATGGCATCTGTGAGCCTGACACATTCAATAAGTATTTATTTTATAATTTGAATAAGTGCCACTTGATATTTATATTACCTATTCAGCAAAATGTTTGATAGACATATATTTTACGAAGAGATAAACTTAAAATTTCCATTTGATTTTTATAAATTTTTGGACATATTATCCATATTTATCAACAGAAATTTAAGAGTTAACAGCAACAAGTCAACAGGCTACTTCAAAAAGAAACAAGACTGTTTTGTTTCTGGCTTTTACTAAAGAGCAATGGTTCTACCCATGCTTGTCAATGGAATAAATATTATTCCTACTACATTCAAAAAATTTTGAAAGTTGGGATTGTTGTTTGGCACTATCCTTAGGTATATAACTTCAATGGCCAGTCTGAAAAATCAGTATTTCAGAGAATCTAAAATAGTATAATATCATAGCCTTAAAGGTCTAATATATTTTGTTATCCAAGCATCACGTCTATCTGTAAACTAATATATAAAGTTACACACACATCTTGCAAAATAGGAAATAACTGCTTGTGGTCAGAATCACCATACTGAGCTAGCAGAATACTTTTGCTAAAAACTTGAGGCCAAAAAGAAATTTCCCCTATCCTTCGTTACAATAAGAATGTAGGTCTCATTAGATATATTTAAAATGTGCCAGGCGCAGTGGCTCACGCCACCCAGCACTTTGGGAGGCTGAGGCTGGTGGATCACCTGAGGTCAGGAGTTCAAGACCAACCTGGCCAACATGGTGAAACCCCATCTCTACTAAAAATACAAAAATTAGCCAGGCATGATGGCGGTTGCCTGTAATCCCAGCTACTCAGGAGGCTGAGGCAGGAGAATCGCTTGAACCGGGAGGCGGAGTTTGCAGTGAGCCGAGATCATGCCACTGTACTCCAGCCTGGCCACAGAGAGAGACTCCATCTTAAAAAAAAAAAAAAAAGCGAAAGCATATATATACAATTATGGCCTAAAATGGCTCATTGATAAACATTCAGCTCCCTACAGAAGGCATCTGAATTTTAGACTGATTTACAAGGTCTTTTAATTCACTGAATACTATTTTTTTAAATCACAGTTGATTTCTTTCTTTAAATCCAAAACATAAACTTGGCTAACTGCAGAGTGACAGAGAGGTGCTAGGCAATCCAGTCTGCAGCCGGCGGCTCCCTCCAATGCTGTGCCTGGTGCTGACCCTTATGTTGCCCACCGCACAGTGCCTGCAACCCACTGGGACCGCTCCATAGCCAGGGCAGTCTTCCAAGGCCCAGTGACCTCTGCGCAGAAACAGGCCACGGCTGCTCTGGAGAAGCCAGACAGCCACTGCAAGTTTTATCAGTGCCCAGGCCCCACAGATGGGAGGCCGTTCTGAATACCTCCCGCTCCAAAACCTACGGCCCTGGTGCTAGCCGTCTGTCCCCTCCATTCCCGGGGTGCCTTTTCTGATAAGGAAAACAAACAGAAAACTCACGAAGATGCTCACGAACACTGAAAACACATATCTTAGAACAAAGCTGTGGAACCACTAAAAACAAATTAACCATCTTCTAAATTCAGAGGCTGTGATAATAACTCAAAAGTAATTGGCTTTTTATATTTTACTTGGGAGATGACGAGATATTAACATATAACAGTTACATGTTATTTTTTTCCCCATGAACCTCAGAAACTTAGAAGGGAGCAACCGAACTGCAATGATACCCAATAGCTTTCCCAGATGAAGGACTACAACACACACACAAGCACACTCATGTCTGTATCTACAACTAGTTAATATTTCACAGCAGGAAATACAGAAACCCAAGAGCTAAAATGTTAGCTTAGTGCAATCTGCATTGACATACTACCCTGTACAGTTATTATACATGACATACATAGCATACACATTACACACTCTCCATAAAATATTTCTACTGGAAAGAAAAGTAAACTGTAAAATAATGCCTATGTCTAAGGTTACTTAGACATAACAAGAGTTCATGACAAGAGATCTTTGTAAACTTTATTGACTTTTCAAAAATGTTTTCTTTGTTATTAAATTAGGATTACAAATTTGTTAAATATCTTTGGCTAATTTTCAAGATTAAAAATTTTTAAATATACACTTGAACAAACATGTCCTGGAGAAGCAAATTAAGGTACAAAATAAAGGGCAGTTTATAGATAATGCATCTCATTTCAATAGAACTTTTGAAATACTGAAATGTTTGGGAAAAAACTCAGGACGTTTAGAATAATTTATTACTATGTGTATGAAAACATACTAAGTTCCAATTATTCCTAATTAAAATAAATTAAAAATCAGTACCTTAATAATGTATTCAGGAAAATATCCTTTAATTTACTGAAGTTCAAGAAGAGTGTAAGAAAGATATAAGTATGAACTTTTCCCCTCAACATTTCTCTAATTCTGATTTGGTACAATAACATAGACAATCCTAGCTTAATACAGAAATGTGCCAGGCGCAGTGGCTCATGCCTGTAATCCCAGCACTTTGGGAGGCTGAGGTGGGTGGATCACCTGAGGTCAAGAGTTCAAGACCAGCCTGGCCAACATGGTGAAACCCCATCTCTACTAAAAATACAAAAAATTAGCCAGACATGGTGATGGGCACCTGTAATCCCAGCTACTTGGGAGGCTGAGGCAAGAGAATCACTTGAACCCAGGAGGCAGAGGTTGCAGTGAGCCGAGATCGCACCATTGCACTCCAGCTTGGGCGACAGAGAGAAACTCCGTCTCAAAAAACAAAAACAGAAACAAAAAAAGAAAGAAATGCATCCCCATTTCCCAATGAGTATCACAAGAGACAGGCTAGCATCTGCAGGCCCAGACTGCCAGGGTTGAAACTGTCTCTGCCATGTGTACCAACTGTGCAACAGTCGGCAAGTCAAGTTACTGCTCCTCAGAGCCTCATGAGGAAGTAGAACTAACAAGACTAATAACAGCCCTCATAGGAATGTCATGAAAATTAAATGAGTTAATACATGTAAAATGTTTGCAAAAGTGCCTAGCTCATAAGTAAACCCTCAATCAATGTTAGTTGTTGTTACTATTATAGTTATAATTATTAATCATCTTGGCTGTGAAATATGATTCACCATGAAAAGCCATTTATGATACTTAATTTGTTAGTAAATGCAATAGAGCAAAAATATAAAATAAAACCAAGGGTTAAAAGGTTCCTATGTCAGGAAAAGGCCTGACACAGCTGCTCACACCTGTAATCTTAGCACTTTGGGAGGCTGAGGAAGGAGGATGGCTTGAGGCCAGGAGTTTGAGACCAGCTTGGAAAACAAGATGAGACCCTGTCTCTACAAAAGATGTTCTGTTTGTTTGTTTGTTCGTTTTGAGACGGAGTCTTGCTCTGTCGCCAGGCTGGAGTGCAGTGGTGCGATCTCGGCTCACTGCAACCACCAACTCCCTCGGTCAAGTGATTCTCCTGCCTCAGCCTCCCGAGTGGCTGGGATTACAGGCGCATGATACCACGCCCAGCTAATTTTTGTATTTTTAGTAGAGACGGGGTTTCACCATGATGGCCAGGAGGGTCTTGATCTCCTGACCTTGTGATCCGCCTGCCTTGGCCTCCCAAAGTGCTGGGATTACAGGTGTGAGCCACAGCGCCCGGCCTACAAAAGCTGTTTTGAAAAATTAGCCCGGTGTGGTGGTGTGTGCCTGCAGCCCTACCTACTCAAGAGGCTGAGGTGGGAGAATCGCTTGAGCCGGGAGTTCCAGGCTGCAGTGAGCTATGATGCTGCCACTGCACTCCAGCTTGGGCCACAGAATGAGACTCTCTTTAAAAAAAAAAAAAAAAAAAGTTAAGGAAATCTGTTCTGTAACCAGTCCATTGACTCTACAACTCACTGGATCTCAAGTTCTCTAAGGACAAACACCACTTCCTATTCATATTTTTGCTCCCCAAATAGTAAGTCCGGTAAGAGAACATGTGCTCCTAAGTATTCACTGAATTAAATACTTTCTGTATAAGAAATTTTACATTATTCATTGTAAAGGTTGAAAATCAAATTAATTGGCAAGAATTATATCAAAGGTATCAACCATAAGCTTAGATGCCTCTGATTAAATATGAGATCACTATTTCCTATCATTCTCCCACATGGCAGCAATACAGAAGACTCCCATCACCCGGGAGGTAACATACATCTACCACTGCTACTGCCACTCCCACCATCACCTCAACTATCCCCGCCATCAGCACTCTTGACAAGGCATTTATTGGATGTACACTTAATAAATCAGCAAACATTGCTAATTTCAATACTGAAGTCAAGGGGAATCTCACTGACTCCTCAGACTAGCCTGTGGGGTAGATTATCATCTCCATTTTACAGATGGGGAAAGTGAGGCTTAGAGATGTTAAGTAATTTGGCCACAGTCACACAACTATGGGGCGGCCCAATTGGGATTAAAGGCCAAATATGTATCACCCCCAGGGTCCTTACTTAATGACTATCTACCTTTGAGTAAAACTTTAGAATTTCAATTTATACACTGGCTTTGTATAGTACAGCTATGACGAATTCCCAAAACTTTTTGAAGATTAACATGTATTATCTTGTGACTGTTAAATGCATCATTATCTTCTCTTTTGCTTGGAATCTTCATAACCGCAAAAAGATATAATCCTACTTCACCTTGACCACCAGGACATAAGACGATCCTTTGTAGCAAAAATGCCAACAGCCAAAGTTGTGAAATTTTGTCCCAGCAGTGTTTCATGGAAGACGTGGGAGTAGAGACATAGTGTGGCTGACCTGACTTAGAGGGGTTTCGCAAAGCAACCAGGGAGTGAAATAATCAGGAGTAATACGAATAAAATATGATAAACATGGCCAAGAAGTTAAATCCAAAAGGGAGCTCAAAGAATGGGAGTAGGAGATCACAACACTCTCAGCTCTCTGTGTTGTAAGAGCAGGATGGCAGAACACAAGAAAAGTCAATAGAGTATGGTAGATCCCTGTGACAACATGGCCTTAATGTGGCCATGGGTCCAAGCTACAGGAGCAGAATACACAGAGGCAAAAAATGAGAAATTATTTTTATGGCACATTTCTCTGATTGTAAGAACGCACATATGCAACTGTCATGAATACTGGCTGCCATTCCCTAATCCAGGTTACAGGTAAGGAACTGGTCAGTTGAGATAACAAAAGCTCCAGGTGCATAGGAAGAAGGCAGTAAAACGCACCAATGTCCCTCCCTATCAGATGGCTCAACATGCTGAAGTGTGTCGGAAGTGATTGAAGCGCACTTCCCCACTCTCCTGAAACACAGGCAAACCAGCTGTGTTGGATGCTGCAGTGGGCAAGTTCCTAAGCTTGCACATGCATTCAGACAAACAGGAAATGAGATGTCCAGAGCTGGCAGGTAAGAAAGCTCCTCTGGCAGTCCTTAACTCCTTGCTAGTAAGACTTTTCACTTCCTAGTAGAAGCAAGAGGATGTGCTGCCCCCATTTAAACTATGGAAGGAGTGGCCAGGAGAAGCCAGAGAAGGACTCCATGGATGCACTAGCCGTTCCTCCCCTCCCCCTCACCATGGTTTGCAGCGAATCCCCTGAGATAAGCACAAAAAACAGTGGCAGGCTGCAGGCACCACACATGCATGAATGAAGACAGTACAAAATGTGAGTCACCTCACTTAAAACAGAAGTGTTCCTTTGAAACACCACACAAATTGGGCATATGTAAATTAAGTCACTGGCCCAAAAGTTTACATTATTTAGCATATTACTGGTCTGTTTTTTATCCTATCCCCTTAAACTCCCTTCTCACCCTTCAAGCTCCCGGTTTGTAACTACTAAGTGCGTCTCCAGCTAAATCCTTGAACAATAATCCCTCTACCTTCACCCTAAAACTAGTTGTGACAAATCTGAATTCCAATAGATCAGATTTTTTTAGAGTGTTTTGCCTATATGTACCAACAGTAAGCATCTAGAATGAAAGAAAGACTAAGATATTGACCATTTCCACGATATTCCATTATCCCCAACATCACCATCATGCACACACTTATTATCTGCTATAGATTAATTACTTGCATTGTATTTCATATGTATATTCAAAAACATATTACAGAAAGTACAGAAAGGTACTATTCAACTCAAAGGAATAAAGTCTCAACAGGCCACGATTCTAGATTCGAGCAAGATACTCTGAAGGGTAAATAACATAAACAAGGGCTAATGGGGCCTGTCAATGACTAAAGCTTATGTATTACTATAACTATCAAGTATGAGAATATATTAAGTTTGCAAAACAAAACAAAAGATTCCACAAGCTAAGGAAATTCAAGTGATGTCAAATGAAAAAAGCAGAAAATACAGGCACAAAACTAGCACTGGGCCGGGCGTGGTGGCTCACGCCTGTAATCCCAGCACTTTGGGAGGCCGAGGCGGGCGGATCACAAGGTCAGGAGATCGAAACCATCCTGGCTAACACGGTGAAACCCCATCTCTACTGAAAATATAAAAAATTAGCCGGGTGCAGTAGCGGGCGCCTGTAGTCTCAGCTACTTGGGAGGCTGAGCCAGGAGAATGGCGCGAACCCGGGAGGCAGAGCTTGCAGTGAGCGGACATCGTGCCACTGCACTCCAGCCTGGGAGACAGAGCAACACTCCGTCTCAAAAAAAAAAAAAACTAGCACTGGTATCTAGAAAACTGACTAGAAAAAGGAAACAGAAATATTAGCTGTAATTATCTCTCTAGAATGGAAGAAAAACAGGTGACCCCATCTTATATTTTGCTTTTAGTTTTTTAATTTTTTGAGACAGGGTCTCTCTCTCTCTCTCTCTCTCTCTCTCTCTCTCTCTCTGTCACCGAGGCTACAGTGAAGTGGCAGTATCACAGCTCACTGCAGCCTGGACCTCCCGGGCTAGAGCCATCCTCCCACCTCAGCCTCCTGAGCAGCTGCGACGACAGGCACACCATCACACCCGACTAATTTTTTATATTTTTGTAGAGATGAGGGTCTTGCTATGTTGCCCAGGCTGGTCTCAAACTCCTGGGCTTAAGCGATCTGCCAACCTCAGCCTCCCAAAGTGTTGGGATTACAGGCATGAGCCACCGCACCCGGCCTATGTTGTTTTATTAATACAAAGTACATATAATGAACAGCCAGTTTGTGTTTTAATCCTGTTTAATCACTTTACTATCATTTTGCTACCACTTTACTACCATTATGCTGACAGCTGAGTTTCCTTTTAAAATGGTAGCATTGGCCTTAAAAAAAAATTAGGTCCAGATAACTATACTGTAGTCTGTGTAGAAGTATCGAAAGCTCTTTAATAATAATAGTCATAGCAACAGTAACAGCAAGCATTTACTGAGTAATTACTATGAGCCGGGCAATGCTCTAAGCACATCACGTGCTAATCTTCACCGAAGACATAAGTTCTGTTGTCCCATTTTGTAGGTAAGGAAACTGAAGCACAAGAAATGAAACAAGCTGACCGAGTGACAGAGCCAGATTCAAACGCAAGGGCCTAACTACCAGCCCCTGCTGTCTCTTATGCTGATGATTTTACCGTGCAGGGGGTTCAGGCTTTGAATAAGCTTAAAAATAATTAGACAAACTTTGGAGACTTAAAAAGCTTTTTATTAAACAGAAATTAAAACTGAAATGAAATTTTGTATTTAATAACAATTAGCTACAAGCCTGTTCAAGAAAGAGGATGTGTCCCTCTAATAATTAAAAATCCAATACCTTCCCATACAGGTGTTATCTACTTAACAAGTGAAGGGGCTGAGAGGAAGGTCAGAGTGACTAACAAAACCAGTCCTGAGGCCTTGACACCTGAGGACAGGTAAGTGATAAAAATGAAAATTAGGTAACTCCAAAAGGAAGAGCTAGAGATCCTCCCTAGATCGCTTTCCCTTCCTCTGTGAATCCTCACAGATCAAAGACAAAAAGCCTTCCAAGTAAAGGAATTTTGCCAGAAATTAACAAAAACTGACAGAAAAATCGCAGGAGGCAGGAATACTTTTACTGAAAATTACTCGGTGCAACAGGACATTACATCTCGAAATAAAGCAGTAAAGGTTCTGCTTCAGCTTTGCTTTTAATTCCCATCCAACAAACCCAGAAGCAGGCGTTGTCCTGATCCGAGATGAGCCAGGCAGGGCACAGTCACATCTCTGAGAGTGACTTGGACAGGATGATGATATTTAGATATGTGTTCCCTTACAGAGCTGTGTTTTGTAGCAATGTGCAGACGTTTAAGTTTTATTATCATATGGTTCACATTTTCAGGCTACAAAAAGTATATGCAATTAAACCCAATACATGTGTGAAAGTTTTAATAATAAAAAGAGATTCAAGACACAGTAGTTGTTTATAAAAAGCAAAACTTTTAATGTATGGGAAGCTGAACACTAAAGGGAAATTAACAAAAAATAAACAGCCAATGTAATATAAAAACATGAGTTAACTGAGGTCGTTAATGTCAGTTAAATGGCAAACAATCCATTACAACCAATGTTTAAACGTGTGTCAATTAAATATGAGCAGACAGCCTTGCAATTAGAGTTTAAAGATTTACTTTTACTTCTTCCAGATCCATATATTGTCTTTCAAACATGAGCACCTTCTCTGAATTAAAAAACCTTCCTTTACATTTTATACACAAACGCTAAGTACAAAAATGCTTGCTAACTATGTTTATCAATGCAGCGGATATTATCACATTGATTTTAGAAAGAAACATGCCAAAAAGTATTATCAATTTCAAGCATTTTGAGTGATTTTAACAGAATCACAACATTATATTCTCACTTCTCTTTACTTTTCTTCCAGGATTGCTGTCAATAAAAATGTAGCTGACCTTAAGAGTCACAGCCTGAAAGAATCTCAAAATGGTCTAGAGTATATGGAAGCTTTCTTTCTGTAAGAACTTTAAAAATATATAAAGCAATATTTAATAACCTACTTTTATTTGGAAATGAAGTCTTACTCTCAGTCTCTGTATGAAAATAAAGTACTGGCCAGGTGCAGTGGCTCTCACTTGTAATCCCAATACTTTGGGAGGCTGACATGAGTGGATTGCTTGAGTCCAGGAGTTCAAGACCAGCTTGGGCAACAGGGCAAAACCCCGTCTCAACAAAAAATACAAAACAATTAGCCAGATGTGGTGGTGCATGCATGCCCGTAGTCCCAACTACTCATGAGGCTGAGGTGGGAGGATCACCTGAGCCCAGGGAGGTTGAGGCTGCAGTGTGCCATGACTGCACCACTGCATTCCAGCCTGGGCAAAAGAGCGAGACCCTCTCTAAAAAAGGAAAAGGAAATGAAAGGAAAGAAAAGTAAGAAACTCCATTTAGACTCAGCTAAATGTTCTGATTCCAAATTTCACACTGAAGTTTCACCCACAACTGCACCCCACCCACTACCCCACACCCAGCACTTGTAGATTCCTGTGTTCCTCACTTTACTTTTGCTTTCTAGTAACACCAAGTCACTGTCATGAACCCTTCACATTTCACTATCAACTTCCTAGTAAGTCAGTAAACACCAAGCAGGTCCTAGGACATTTTCACTTATCCAGAACGCCCTTTTTTTCCCAGTATTCTGGTACCTTAAAAGAGCATGGCAAAGAGCACTGTGGGGCAGAAGGAAGGATCTGAAAATTCCATTCTGATGAGACATCTAGGTAGAAATGTGAAGAGGTCCAAGGAGAAGCTGGAAAGAGAATTAGTTCCAATGATTATTAAACTAATGCCCCTGCCATGGCTCCCTCATTCTGGAGCTGCACCGGACTGCTGTGGGAGCATGCCTTGCTGTGCTGTTTCCCATCTCCAAGGTTTGTCCTGATACCTCCTGGAGACGCTCAACGAATCCCCTCCGAACTCCAGCCACTGCCTGTCCACAACCAGGTGCAAGAAACCCAGCCAGAACCCCACCCTTCCCAACTTCCTGATCCCAAGAAATGGGGAGAGGTAAAAAAAATGATTGTTTTAATAAAATGAAGTTTTGAAGTGATTTGTAAACGGAAACAATAGTGCTAACAATATATGTAGATGGAAAGCAAACACAGGAATGAGAAAAGCAAGGTCAATCCTAACTGGCTGAGGGGTGCAGGAAATCGGGTAACTAGAAGGAACAAATTAACACAGCTGGTATAACCTGAACAGCTCAAGAACTGGAGACCACCAGACCAAAACCAGATTTAAATCAAGAGTTTGTAAAGCCAGAGCATCTGACCACCATCATCCCTCTTCCATTGTAGACACCAAACCAGAAACGAGTAGGGCTCACACGGATGAGGTGGTTTGTGAAATGGCCACACAGTACATTAACAGCAAGTACCGAACACTGAGACCCTAAGCCCCTCAGCCCAGCCCCGTAATGTCAGCAACCAGGCTTAGACTTCACCCACCATGTCCTCCAAGCAGAACACGACCAGTGTCTTCTCTGGAGAAAATAAACTACTCCTGAGCATATTTCACATATCAACATGAGGAAGTCCCCAGTGAAAAAGCTGGCTGATCACATGATAACCCCAAAGAAATGCCTACCTGTCCACATGCCCAGCTCACACAGGAGGCCTCCAACCAGCCTGTTTTTGTTGTTTGTTTGTTTTTTGAGACTGAGCCTCGCTCTGTCGCCCAGGCTGGAGTGTAGTGGTACAATCTCGGCTCACTGCAACCTCTGCCGCCTGGGTTCAAGCGATTCTCCTGTCTCAGCCTCTCGAGTAGCTGGGATTACAGGCGCCTGCCACCAAGCCTGGCTAAATTTTGTGTTTTTAGTAGAGATGGGGTGTCACCATCTTGGTCAGGCTGGTCTTGAACTCCTGACCTCATGATCCACCCATCTCAGCCTATGCTGGGATTACAGGCGTGAGCCACTGTGCCAGGCCTTTCTTTTTTTTCTTTTTTTTTTTTTGAGACAGGGTCTCACTCTGTTGCCCGGACTGGAGTGCAGTTGTGCAATCTCGGCTCACTGCAACCTCCACCTCCCAGGCTCAAGCCATTCTCCTGCCTCAGCCTCCAGAGTAGCTGGGATTACAGGCACGCACCACTACCAATCAGCCCTTTAATGCACCTCACTCTTAAATAGGAACAAAGATTCTCACACTTTTGAGGAAGCCTCCTGCCTAAAACAGATTGTAAAAAGTAAAAAGGGTAATTCAGAAGAAACAGATAATGCAAGGAATAGAAGAAACATTGTAAAAAATAATAACATGCTGCTTGAGAGAGGAAAAGTGATTGCATACAGGAAATAAAGAATGCTATTAAAAAAGGAACTATGTATAAAGAAAAACACTTTGAATTAAAAAATATAAAGAGAAAAACAAGATAATTTAACAGTCAGATTGGCAGATAGAGTCAAGGTTATCTCCCACGCAGAAAACAGTAACAGAAAAGAAAAATCAGTGAAGGAAAGAAAAGATCAATAAATCCAGTATATCCAACACCCAGGAGCACCAGAATAAGAAAGCAGATTAAGGGAGAGAAAGAAATTACCAAATAACTATATAAGATAATTGCCCCAAAATGAAGAACAGTACATACTTAGTGCCCAGCACAATGAAGTACAAAAAAAAAAAAAAAAGACCCATAGAGACACACAGCACTATTTCGGGCATCACAGGCGAAAACCCTAACAGTTTCCAGGATCACACAGAAAGAAAGGGCAACGTCACAATGGCATCTAATTTCTCCACAGCAACAGGAAACATCAGAAAGCAGTAATAGCAGAAGTCAGAAGCTTTTATCTTTTAATTCTTAGAGAAAATTATTTCCATGCAGGATTGCTATATGTAGTCAATCAATTTAAATATGAGGGTATATAGTAAAGGTGTTTTGAAACATGCAAGGTCTAAAAAATTTACCTCCCATTCACATTTTCTCAAGAAGCTACTGAAAGATGTGCGCAGTCAAAATGGTAAGTGATCTAGGAAACGGGAGATCCACACATGAGGCAAACAGAAGAGTCACAAAAAAAAAAAAAGAGACATCCCAGGAGATGGCTGTACACATCTATCTCCTGCGTTAACAACCACTCCAAATTGTGGTGAAGACTATGGAAATCCAGAAGGGATGTCTCTTAAGAAAAAATACTGGAGCTGAAAAACTTCTCTGGCAGGTATGACCGCATGAAGACTGCACTGCCCAGTTGTTGGAGGGCACAGGAAGGCCCAGTCAGATGTTCAAAGAAAAGCATGTGAAAAAAAAACGAGGTAATGAACTCCAAGCAAAACTAAGTTATTATAGTATTACAGTATAAGTATAGTATAATGCAATATTTAGCTTAGTGAACAAGAGTTAAGAAGACATAATAACATAAACAGTAATGCAGTCTTAACCAAAACCTGATGGGATTAGATGGGTAGGACATTGAAGAGTGGGAAAGACACAGTGTACAGCAAGCTACAATCCTCATCTAATAGGAAGCCAGTAAATGATGCCAAACTGAGGAATTTAAAAGATAATATATAGCAATGATTGCATGTATATGTACATTTCTAAAGAAATATACATGTAACAAGACAATTTCATTTGATTTTCATCATCTATAAATTCATCATACATTCCTAAATTTTGTCTATTTTTGAAAACTTAGATGACCTGGGTTACAGTTTATCCTAGGAGAAAAGGATATATGTGCCTTAACTCCTTTTTGTTTCTGAATGCTTAATTCTATATACTCGATGTGAAGAACGGCAGAGACTCTCCATTGCCTGATCCAGCTACCTAGGTGGTTAATAATCCCCTATGCTCTACTTCACTACCACCCCTCAAAAGAAAGACATCAATCATCCATCCTGCCCACAGGTCATGTGGACCTGGAGCAATCTTAGAGGAAGAGACTAAGTCAGTGCTTTCTAACAGTCACACCAGCACTGCTCACCCTCAGAAGTAGACAAGGGAGGACAGTGGCTACAAGTCTCAAGAAATGAAATACCTTTCCAGTTTTTGCTAAGTCATGAGTTAAACCAACAAAAACAGTGGCTTCACTTACCTGCCATGATTACACAGATGTTTATGCTACAATGTAAACAACAAAATAAACACTAACTAGATTTATCATGAAATTGTTTCTTCCAACAAGTGAAAATGACTTAATTTCTGTGACCCTCCCTAAAATAATAAAAGATTTTCCCTAAAAATATAAACCAGTATCTGTGTATTCTTCTGTATGTCAAGGGCTCTTCACTGCCTCAGGCTGAAATCTGAGCTCCTGGGTACATTGAAAGCTGCCAGCCTTTCCCCAGACTGCCGGGTTCCGGGCTGCTGCACGGGTCCCTCCACTGTCTCAAAGGCCGTCCCTCCACTCCAGGGATCCCTGCTCAGGCTCCTGCAGATCCTCAGCCACAACAGTGCAGGCGATTTTACACGGCACTGTCTACGAGTAGCCCTGCCACTAAACCGGACTCCTCCTACGGGAAAAGCACTGCGTGGTTTCATCTCTGTATCCCCAATGACTGGCACATTGACTGGCACACAGAAAGGAGCTCAATGATTCTTATTTTGTTTTGTTTTGTTTTGTTTTTGAGATGTAGGTTGGCTCTTGTCGCCCAGGCTGGAGTGCAATGGCATGATCTCGGCTCACTGCTACCTCCACCTCCCAGGTTCAGGCAATTCTCTTGCCTCAACCTCCTGAGTAGCTGGGATTACAGGCGCCCACCACCACGCCCGGCTAATTTTTGTATTTTTAGTAGAGATGGGGTTTCATTGTGTGGGCCGGGGTGGTCTCGAACTCCTGACCGCAGGTGATCTACCCACCTCGGCCTACCAAATTGCTGGGATTACAGGTGTGAGCCATCACGCCCGACCTTCAATGATTCTTTTCCACATATACTTAGCAAATTACAATGACACTATGACTACGGATCTAAGCATTACAAAAAATTTTAATGAATGTTTAATGGCAAATGCTAAATTTTTACATATACTTTCCTTAAAGTCTTTTAACTTAGGTGGCAAAAAAGGAAAGGCCACATTACAATCAATGTTTAAATGGAAGGACCAGGCTGGGTGTGGTGGCTCATGCCTGTAATCTTAACACTTTGGGAAGCCGAGCCATAGCCAAGCTATGATCACGCCACTGCACTCCAGCCTGGGTAAAAGAGTGAGACCCTGTCTCAAAAAATAAAAATAATTTTAAAAAAGGAAGGAACAGGCCAGGTGCAGTGGCCCATGCCTGTAATCCCAGCACTTTGGGAGGCCGAGGTGGGCGGATCAAGAGGTCAAGAGATAGAGATCATCCTGGCCAATGTGGTGAAACCCCGTCTCTACTAAAAATACAAAAATTACCTGGGCATGGTGATGCACGCCTGCAGTCCCAGCTCCTCAGGAGGCTGGGGTAGGAGAATCGCTTGAACCTGGGAGGCGGAGGTTGCAATGGGCTGAGATGGAGCCACTGCACTCCAGCCTGGCGACAGAGCGAGACTTTGTCTCAAAAAAAAAAAACAGCAACAGCTGATTCAAATAATTCATGTTTATATTTCATGCAAATCACTAATGTCCCTGGACCACTGCCAAGCTCAAATTCAGGTAGATCAAGTAGTAATTTCCAATACTCCCACAGCAGCAAGGAATATAAACAGCATTGTCCTGTCCTCCCAAACTCATCACTGGGGCAGGTAATTTCTCCCCATGGCAGGATATGAAGAGTTTAAAGCTGAGTCAGTTCACCTAACACCATATTCTGAATAAGGAAAACAAGATTCACTGGAACCTGACCTAGAAAGGTAAGTTTCCACCTAGGCATCTCAGCAGTTACTTTAGATTTGTACTGTATTACATGCACAATATATATATTCTTTGCAAGGTTGAGATCCTTGTCAACTGAGAACTTTCAAATGACTCTGTCACCTGGTAAGTATAGAAACAGTAATAACAGAACTGCAAAACAGAAAAGTTCTTAAATCACAATCTGGAAACTTTATCAGCACTACTAGCGCTTTCAGGATACTTCACTTTACAGAAACATAAGCACTGACGACACATTTAAATCTTTTATTCATTAAGCAATTCAATAGCATTAAAATGGATTTATCAGCCTTAACTGAAAAAATGTAAATGTATTATCATATACATTTGAGTCAGCAGCCATCTGGATAGAAAATGGAGAGAAATTTGGAACAAATGGAATAACATACTTTGATTCTGCTATATTGAAGGCTAAAAGAGTATGTGGCTAGAAAAAGTAATATATCACATTTAAATATAGTCTACTGGAAAGTAAAGTTTATGGTAATTCTTTTTACACTAATAAAACCCCAAATTATATTCTCTTTTGAATCATACTAACAAAGATACTCTACCATGAAACTAAATGAGATTTTAAGTAAAGACCCACCTAACAAAACAACATACTAAAAATAACTTCTGTATAACGACACAAAACAGTCTCTAATAATTTATATCACACAAGAACAAAGGTTTTCATGGTGATGAGATGGATTCTACACTGTATAAAGGGACTTCCATATGTTTATTCAACAAAACTCAAGGAAGATACACAAATTCTGTCCATAACAGCTATGAAGAAATCAAAATCCTGTTTCCCTTTTGTTAGATTCTATTCTCCTAATATTCATTCCTGTCACAGGGACTGCATTTATTTCCCCCTTAAAAAATAGAAATAAAAATCTGGACAAGATCTGTGGTGCAATCATTTTCAAAACACTGACCATCAACAAGGATCTTGGTCCCTGAGAGATGGGAAACAAACCAGGTGAACCCTCTGACTGCCCCAGCAAACTGCCTGGAACACATTTCCAGGCCAAGGTGCTGGGAGCAGAAACCAGGCAGAGTCTGGAAATGGAGCTGGGAATCAGAGGTCAATAAGAGGATGGTGTTTTCAGGGAAGCGTAAGAGACAGGGAAAGCCACCCAACAAGAACGCTCCTGGTATTGGCAGTCTTCCCTCCCATACTCGGCAGAGTCACGTTCAGCCTGTGTGTGTGAAGAAACCACGTGAGGATGGGGAAAGAAGCACCCAAAAGGATTAGAAGAAGAATCCTCAGGGCTCACACAGAAGAGTTCCTGCTCCCACCCGCCAGAGAGGGAAAACCACGCAGAGCCCTTGGGAGGAATCTGCCCGAAAAGTGGGCAGAATCAGTGCAGACCCTGCTTACCCTGTCCCACCTCCCAAAGCTTAAAGTAAGACCCAAAAGGATCAAGCTGTTTCCAAGTAATATGCCTGGGTCCCAGACTAAAGTTCAAGGATGTTTATAGGAATAAAAAGAAAGATACCCAGTCATCAACAAGGTAAAATTCACAATGTCTGGCACACAATAAAAATTACCAGAAAGCAAAGAAGCAAACAAAAACAAAAGCAAACAAAAACAAAAGACCCCAAATGAAGAGAAAAATCAGTCAATTGAAATGTACACAGAACAACAAAGACAATGGAACTGAAAGTCAACAATATTAAATTAGTGTAACTATATTCCACATGTTCAAAAAATATAGAAAAAATGTGCATCTTAAGGTAGAGATATGGAAACCAAATCAAATAACCCAAATTGAACTTCTAAAGCTATAAACTTTAATGATGCATGTAAAAAATACATTTTCACTTTTTCACTGGATAGATTTAATGGTAATTTTTAAATGAAAACGAATAAGCCTGAAATTGAAGACACAGCCCACAAAGGAAAAATAAAACACAAAGAGAAAGAGACTTCAGGGTAGGTCTAATATATATATTTAGTTAGAGCTGCTGTTTAAAAAAAAAAAAAAAGAGGAGACAGGATAAATATCTGAAGAAAAAAACTGACTTGAATTTTTTCCAAATTTGATAAAAACTGTAAATCTACAGATATGAAAGTCAATAAAACACAACCAAAAGACACACAAAGAAAACCACACCAGTCCCATCATAATTAAATTTCTTAAAACCAAGGAGAGAGAAAAATCTTTTTTTTTTTTTTTTTGTAAATATGTATTACATCCCTAGAAAAAGAATTCCAGGATTTTCCCTGCTGTGTGTTTTCATCTTGCTTCCTTATGGTCCATGATGCCAGCCGAGGTTGTCAGTGCAATGAAACCAAACTGGCAGGATGGAAGCAGATTATTCTGCCATTTTTCTAGATCTTTGAGTTGCACATCAAATCTGAGGCTGATCACTCCACACTTGTTTAGCCCGCCTGTGAGGTTCACAACAATTTTCCCAGCTCTGTGATCATCAATGATTTCAAATTTGCCAATGTAACTGAGTTAGGAGTTTTTCCTGCCGATGGGTTTGTGGTCTCGCTAACTTTGATGAATGAAGCTGCGGACCTTCACGGTGAGTGTTACAGCTTAAAAAGAGTCCACGGACCAGGAGAGTGAGCAGCAGCGCAGTTTACTGAACAAAGTGAAAGGAAAGCTTCCACGTGGTGGAAGGGGACCCAGAAGGGTTGCCGTTGCTGGCTCGGGTGACTAGGGCTTATATCCCTGTGTTACCCTCTCCCCTTTCTTTCTTTTTGTCCACTGAGAGTGGTTCTTTTTTCAATCCTCCCTTGGAGTGGTTAATTTTGAATCCTTCACTCGACTGGTTAAGAACTCAAAATCCTGAGTCACCGGGGTCTCTTGCAAAAGTCCCCCGGCCCAGGAAGTCCCCCCAACTCCACCCCGCATAATCCGTGCTGCATCATCACAGTGAGAAACGGGCAATGACCTTGGAGCACAGCTTAAAAAGCACCTAGCGTTTGCCTCTTTTCGGCATTGTTGATGCTCTTGAGAATGTCAGCCAGGACATCCGTGTGCACTGTCAGGCCTCTGAGCCCAAGTTAAGCCGTCATATCCCCTGTGACCTGCACATATACATCCAGATGGCCTGAAGCAACTGAAGATTCACAAAAGTGAAAATAGCCAGTTCCTGCCTTAACTGATGCCATTCCACCATTGTGATTTGTTCCTGCCCCACCCTGACTGATCAATTGACTTTGTGACAATACACCCCCTCCCAGCCCTTGCGCTTATGTACTTTATGATATTCCCCCGTCCTTGTGAATGTACTTTGTACGATACACCCGCTCCACCCTTGAGAAGGTACTTTGTAAGATCCTCCCCCTGCCCACAAAAAAACTGCTCCCAACTCCACCGCCTATCACAAACCTATAAGAACTAATGATAATCCCATCACCCTTTGCTGACTCTTCGGACTCAGCCCGCCTGCACCCAGGTGAAATAAAAAAGCTTTACTGTTCACGTAAAGCTTGCCTGGTGGTCTCTTCACATGGACGCTCGTGACATGCACCACTGTGGTGGCATGGAAAGATGGGGGGAAGAGGAGAAAAATCTTAAAAGGAGTCAGAAAAAAACACATTACATCAAGAACAATAAAATTAAAAAGACTTCTTGCCAAAACAATGAAAGCCAGAAGACAGTGGACCAGTATCTTTAAGGAACTGAAAAAAAAAAAAAAAAAGAAAAAAAAAATACAGTCAAACTAAAATTCTATATCCGGTGGAAAAAAATGTCTTTTGAAAATGAGGCAGTTTCGCACCAAAAGCACAAGTGATTTTTAAAAATGGTAAAGTTGGACTTCAGCAAAATTAAAGGTATTTTTTTGCTTCAAAAGACACCTTTTAAGCAAGTGAAAAGATAAACCACAGCCTGTGAGAAAATATCTGCAAATCATATATATGATAAAAGATGCATATCCATGATATATAAAGAACCCTTAAAACTCAAGACAAAACTCCTCCAATTTTAAAATGGGCAAAATATTTGAATAGACATTTCACCAAAAAGGGTGTATAAATGGCCAATGCACACATTAAAAGATGCACATCATTGATTACTAGGAAAATGCAAATTAAAACCCCAGTCACATCCACAAAAATGGCCACGATGCAAAAGACAAAAGATAAGTGCTGGTGAGGTGTGGAGAGGAACACCGCTTATAAGAATGTAAAATGGTTCAGTCATTTGGAAAACAGTGTGGCAGTTTCTTCAAATGTTACACAAAAATCACACACCCCCAGCAGATTCCACTTCTAAGTATCTACTGAAGAGAACTGAAAATATGTCTACAGAAAGACCTACACATGACTGTTCCTGGCAGAACTATTCAAAATAGCTGAAAAGTGGAAAGAACCCAAATGGCCATCAAATGGTAGATAAAATAAATATGTGTAGTGGTGTTTATAAAATATTGAGATACTGAATGTATGACAACAACAGCAAAAAGGCAGAGAAGGGAGAGACAGTGTGTGCTGCTGTAAAGTTCATATACTGCATGTGAAGGATGTAATGGAACTTGAAAGTAAGTTCTGATAAGTGAAAGCATATATTTTAGTAGCAGCTAAAACAATTTAACAAACAGCTAATAAATTCTATTGTTCCATGTGATGCTTCTCACTGAGTTAAAACAACTCTGCCAGTATCTAAGAAAAAGTAAAGATTTTTCTATGCCTACACTTGGATTTTTAATTATCTGAATTTCATTAATATAAAATATGTCTTGTGTGAAGAAGATGTCAGAGAGTACATGTGGGGGTTTTTGGTTCTGCGTTATGTTTTCAAGGAACAATTTAACCTTTCTCTTCTTCTCCAATCTTAAACAAAATTACAACAGTTTCCTCTTTACCTCTACACAATTGGCTTTTCAGGTACATTAACCAAACAAGATTATTTCTTATTTATCATTCAATGTGTTTTAAATGTTGGTTTGCTGCAAAAAGAAGAGTCAATAATGCTTCCCTTGCAAGAAACTAAGTAAGAGAAATGATTCTGGTACTCACGTGGTTTTGTTATTACAAGGTTTATAAAGATAAAGCTCCCAAAATAATCTACGTGTTTTAAAAATCCTGAACTGTAGGCAATCTGAACTTGTTTAAATTGCACATCTTTATTCAGGCTATTAAAAAAATAAAATGTACACAGATATAAATGAAATATAAATAGTAAAAACTCAAAATCCAAAACTAAACTACAGTTTTCACTTCATTTCTTCCCTAGTCTCTCTCTTTCTCTCTCCTAAAATCCTGGGCATTGTCAGACCTGAATGAATAATGTTTTCAAGTCAGATGCCCTTTGGGAAATCACACCTAAATTAGCCTAGCAAAATGTTGTAGAAAACCATTCCACAAGGAAAAAGTTTTCAGACAAAGAGAGAACTTCTATTCAGGTCACATAAAATCTAACCTGAACAATCAAGAGGTTTTGAAGAAGGAAAAACCACAATCAGAATGATATATGCCAATAAATGTCTTTGAGGAAATTTTTAAATAAATTCGGTAAATATTGAAATAAATTGGTAAGTCAAACTGAACCAAAAATAAGTGGGGGCAGGGACACAGTGGGGGCGTTGCCTGTGGTTCCATCTTTCAAGACAAACAAATCAAGTCTCAGTTCTCCTGAGAGCAGGAAGGATTTGGAGGGCTAAAAAGTAAACTAATATAGAATTTTCTTTTATTTATTTCATTTGCCTCCAACTCCCATCTGATATGGAAATTCTGTGATGCTTAAAAACTAAGTTCTGTTTAAACCAATAACCAAAAATGTTTTTCATTGCATAGCAGTAAAAGACATGCAGAAGATGAGCAGCTTAGAAACTCACAAGTAAAATAACCCTACATATGCTATTAAAATGCATTAAAAAGTAATTTATAGCAAACGATATGGCACAGAATTTGAGAATCAGAAGGGCTGTCAAAGATCATTTATTAACAGTTACTGCTTCATGATAGGAACTTATAAACTACGTATGCGTACACCAGCACAGTTCTAAAGAACTCGCTGTTACCAAAAAATAAAAAAAAAGGTTCTATAATCTGTGCTGTCCAATATGAGCCAACATGACTGCCACATGTAGCTATTTAGATTTCTAAAATTTGTTAAAATAAAATAAATGTACAATTCAGTCCCTTAATTACTAGCCAGTTTTTGAGTGCACAATACCCACAAGTAGCTAGTGCCTACTGTACTGCACGGCACAAAGTCTTAGGCTTTTGCTTATATGATGTGAGACTATTAGTCTGTTATACATAGTCTATACTCTGTAAACTACTATATATGGTTTTATATAATACAATGAGAAACATACTAAACTACCATGTGTTAACTATCCTCAACAGCACTATTAACAGATACCAACCAAAGTATCACTTGAAATGACTTTTTAACTTTATTTCTTTCAATAAAATCAAAATACAAAGAAACTGAAAGTTTAAAATGTCTTTTTACTGGAAAATTTTAAGCAAAATTCTAAAAAGTGACCACCTTTTTGGTGGTTGGTTTGTTAGCACATGGCTTGTTTTAAAGAGGAACATCAGAACTGTAATCAGTCTGATTTCTAAGTCCTGCAGGTCTCTCTGGCTGGAAAAGACTGACACCTGAATCCCACATATTACCAAGGGGAGAATGAGGGTTTAACTGAAAAGGTGAGACAGAAACGAAGCCTCCTATTTTAATCAATAATAATGGAAAAGCATTACGTGCTTATGGTTCTGATTTCAAACCATGCTATCCAAATTTATGTTCACATGCTTACTAAATGTTCATCTTCCACTGGTAACTAAAGAAAAATCCTTCATCAACGTGACACAATCCAATTAAAATAAATATTCTTAATAAAGTAGATCTGTGCAATTTTACACTCAGAAAAGCAAAAGCTGTGGGCACAGGGGAAGGGATAAAGTGGACAGCTCGTCCAGCCCTCAGCACAGGTGCCACCATGCAACCACTGGACACCCCTGGGCCTTTGGCTGGCCCCAATCCCTGCCCCACAGCTAAATAAGGTCACAAGCCTAGACCATTTGCTTTATTTCTGATTGTCCACTCCTGACACTGTTTGAGAACGACTATTGTGACTAAGTATACATTAACTAAAATTCCTTCCAGAATTATGTCTTGTAATTTTCATTTGAGAATTCTGGGGGAATCTCATACCAAGTAAAATAAAAAGAACTATTTTAACCTTTATGTATTATACCATTTTTAAAAAGTTTAAATACAGAACTATATGAACTAAGAAACCTATGTCCTTCCCAGCCCATGCTCACTCTGTGTGTAGGCAGAATTCTGTGATGTCCCCCAGGATTCCTGGCTCTGGGTACAAACACTAGGGCGCTCGAGCCTCAAGTGCAGGAAGGACCCGTAAATGTGTTGGGATAGCAATCCTACCATTAAACCATGTTATACAGCAAAGGTCAAGGGACTCTGAGGATATAATTAAGGCCCCTAATTAGTTAATCGAAAAGGAAATTATCGTGGGTAGGCCCGTTCTAAGCAGGAGAGCTCCTTAAAGAGGGATCAGAGAGACTCTCTGGCTGGCCTTGAGGAAGCAAGGTGCCATGAGCTCCACAGCTGCAAGGAAATGAATTATGCCAGCAACCACAGGAGCTTGGAAGAGGAACCCCCACAAGCCCTAGATGAGATCACAGCCCCGGCTGACACCCCGATATCAGCCTTAGGAGATTCTGGGCAGAGAATTCAGTATGCCTGCCCAGATTCCTGAGCCATAGAAACTATGAAATAATACACAGATGTTGTTTTAAGCCTCCAAATGAGTATAGCAATAGTAAAGGAACACACTCCCAAGCCCATCCACAGTTGTCTAATGTATCTAGTTAGGATATTTTCTCTGCATACACACACAGGTGCGTGCACACACAAAGTTCTTTCAACATCTCTGTTACATAATGTTATATGTTATTATGCCCATTTTAAAGATAAATAACTTGAGGCTGAAGAACATGGGACTAAATTGATTAAGGCACTATGCTGAGCTCTTTGTTCAATTGGTTCATGTAATCTGTCTATCAATAAGGAAAGCAGGCTCATTTTACAGATAACGCTGCAATTTAAAAGAACATATTTTTTCCAAGACCACAAGGAAAGTAAAAGCAGAAACAAGAATGTATGAATTCATGTCTTTTAGAATCCAAAGCCCCAAATCTACAAAAACCCTTCAGTTTTAATTCCCTGGTAATTACTCTTAATTATAAAGAATTTTCCAAAAATTTCATCAACTGTGAACTTCAAGAAGGATGAAGATGAATGAGGACACAGCAGTAAACCTGTCATTTCTTTGGGTGACTAGCATCAGGGCTCCACCGGCTGCAGAAGCTGGCAGCAGAGGGTAAAATAGGACCCAAAGAAGATCAGACCTATACTTTCACGCAAACAGCACACTGGGGAGAATTCTGCTTCCCTGCTAGAGATCCAGGGTTGGCAAAGCTAGGCTGAGAGAGAACTGAGTCCAGCATAAGATGGGCCCCCTCTCCAACCACAAACATCAGCTGCTGTCATTCAGAGGGCAAAAGGCAGTCACCTGCTCCAGCCCAGCAGTGAGTGCAGAGCAGGTAAGAGATTGGGACAGCAATGCAGAAGGAAGGCTGGGCACTGAAGCATTCCTTTTCCAATGACCCACAGACAGTTGCTCTATAACCTAAAAGAATTATCTCTTTTGAGTGTTGTTTACTAATCATAAAAATTTGGCAGTATTAATGAAATAGGAATAAAATAGTTTTGAACAAATTGTTTTTAATGTTCCAAAATTTGCAACATCATAGCAGACTCAGTAATCTTGGTTAAATAGTTAAAGCACATTTCAAGTGTGACAGAAGAGAGTGAAATGCCAAACTGTTTTTAAAAGACAAAAATCAAAAGCAATTTTTGATTAAAAATTTTTTATTTAAAAAGTCAAAGCTTGGCTGGGCAAGGTGGCTCATGCCTGTAATCCCAGCACTTTGGGAGGCCGAGGCAGGTGGATCACTTGAGGTCAGGAGTTCAAGACTAGCCTGGTAAACATGGTGAAACTCCATCTCTACTAAAAAATACAAAAAATTAGCCGGGTATGGTGGTGGGCGCCTGTAATCCCAGCTACTCAGGAGGCTGAGGCAGGAGAATTGCTTGAACCCAGGAGGCACAGGTTGCAGTGAGCCAAGATCATGCCATTGCACTTCCAGCCTGGGCAACAGAGTGAGACTCCATCTCAAAAAACAAAACAAAACAAAACAACAAACAAAACACACAAAAAAAACAAAGTCAAAGCTTTTATTCTTAATAATTAAATACAAATTCTACATTCTACAGTTCACTAATTGACACAGAAAAGGTAAACATTAATTTTCAAGTCTGAATTGCTTTAATCTAGTGCTGGTTTACCTGATACCAGTCAATGCAAAAAAAAAAAAAAAAAGCATTATATAATAAGAAATAAACAAGACAGAAGAAAACAAATTGAAATTATTGAGCCTTCTAAGTTACTAGACAGTGTCTTCTCTTTAGAAAATTGGGATGTAATACTGAAGTATGCTTTTAAACTTCTATTTTAATAAGTGTTCCAGAGTCTAAGTTCCCCTGGCCATATAAAGCTCGTATGAATCAAGTCTAACATCTAGAGTTCTAGATTAACAGTTATAAGCTAGTACCATTGGAATAAGGTTGAAAGTGGTTAAGTAGCTTGGCTCTTGGGTAACTACAGATATTAGATGTACAGTAATTCTTGTATTAGAAGGTTTTAAATGTTTTTGTGACATCTCTTTTCAGTAAATGCAAATAAATGTGGCTCGCCATGTCTACCATGTGTTCAGTAGCTTAAACAGTGAGTTCTGCTGTGTGTTCTGAACCCAGACTGCACTCCTTCCTCTAGCTGGTTGTCTTAAGACAGATACCAGCACTCATGGGGAGAGCCTGCAGTACAAATGCAACACGGCTGAACAGGGAACCACCACCACCGATCCTGGGGCTGAAAGGGGTACAAGTTAAGCCCAGACTAACAGACTGATTTTGAACTGCGATTTGCATTCATATGGAATATTTTCTGGAGAACTTTGTCGACACATACACACAAACACAAATCTCCTGAGACATAAACAGCAAGATATGTCTTTACTCAGTGTCCACTGAGGTAATAATTTATAAATAAGTTATGCTACTCAAGTCCATTGCAAGGTCACATTGTTTGGAACCTGGAATGCATTTGCCAGAAATATAGTAAATTGAAGTTAAATCCTCAGCCTCTGAAAGTTTCAACCCATGAACAGAACCCATTGTACTGGAAGTGAGCCATCCTTTTCAACAGTGCAACTGTGCGCATGTGGAGCACCTCCCTGGGGCCACCTCTCCACCTGGGCTCCACTCACAGAAGAGACCTGCTCCCAGGGGCTTGCGCCCTTCACTCCAAGCAGCTAGCACACAACCTCAAGCCAGAGTAACCATTCACAACAAAAATCACCACCATTCACTGAGGCACTGTAGTACATGATCTCTGGTGATCCTGACAATGACCCTGTGAGGAAGGAGCCTTGACTCCCATTTCCAGCAAAACAAACAGAAAAGTCAAATGAATTGCTCAGGTGACAGAGCTAGAAGTGGTGGCACCAGAATTCAAACCCAGATCCAACTAACCCCAGCAGACTACAATCCTATAACCACTGAAGGTGATGAGCATGTCGAGACTCCGGGTGATACTCCATTCACATATGGGTATTTCTAAAAGCATGTACAGAACCAAAGAGCAAAAGCTGAAATCAGTGGGAGCTGGGTGGGGTTCTGCCACCAGAGAGCATGAAAAAGACGATGAGAATGATGATGGAAAACAAAGGCTTAATTTACATTTTCCATTCTAAAACATAATGCTCAATGGGGATTTACTTTCTTGCTAAGGGGTAATGAATAGTCAATTTCAGACTAAAGATTTTCTGCATTCATCTTCCCCAAGTGTTTCATATCTTTACATTACATTTTTCAGATATAGATATTTTCATCACTAATATTGTTCCTCTCAATTTCCCCTTTCTCATTTTTTGTAAAATGGCAAAATGAACAAAATATTCAAATATTTGTGTCAATTTACAATAGACTAAAATTAAAATGCTGGCTACCAAACAGTATTACCAAAACAACAGTTTACAATAATCATTTCCCAGGTGAGGCGTTAAGAGTCCAGGTGAGGTGCTTACAGATGCTTGGTTAAAGCTCAAGGACAGTGGCTACATGAAGGGGAGACAGCTCCCTGCAGGAAAGAGACTGCAGACAGGGACCGGGAAAGGTCACGTGTGACCTAAGAGGAGAAAAGGACATTCCTTCCTAGGACTGAATGAACAGGAAACAAATTCAGTACCCCGAAAGTCTACACAAATCTGAACTTTGCATATATCAATGACAAAAATTCACTTAACTGAAAGAAAAGTAAAATTTAAAACTGGGCTCCCTACTGAATGAACCAAAGTTCCTTGCAAATCTTATCACCAATTTCAATATACACAGAAACCCCCAAAAGGAGGTTCATACAGCATCTATGTTTCAAATATAAGTCTACGTTATAAAAAATAATAATTTGACCTCATTAATAAGATCAAATAACTTTAAATACATTCAGAAAAGTCTAAAGCTTAAATTTTCATGATAATAACAATGAATATAATATATAAGGTAAACCATAACAGATTGGAAATTTTTATTTCAAATTGAATATATAGGGCAAATTAATATTCTTCTGTCTTAAAAGCACTGAAACAAATCTTACGTACCAAATGTACAAACATACACACATTCTCTCCCTCCTCCTCTTCTCTCACTCATCATTTACAGAGCATTGAAAATCAGTCAAAAGACAAAAGCATCAGGAGGAAAAAAACCCATTTCCAAATTAATCATTAACTTCATTGGTGACAGCTAATTTATCTTCATGACTTTTTCATATCTATTTAATGACATTTCCTATGGTGATTTGTGTCTTAATATCGCTAAATATTTTTATCTGAAAAGACTGCATGTGAATTTGTATGTGTGGATATGTGTATGTATGTGGCCATGTGTATGTGTGTGTATGAAACTAACTTGTATTCAGCAACACGTATCTTCCAATGTTCAAATATAAGGTACATTTTGAAAGACAGTAAGAATACTATGACCCTTTCAAAATCCCCCAAAAGACTAGGTTTATATATCTCTAGTAATTTCTAATCACGGCAATTTAAAAGTAAGACAGCGTTATCAACATTAACAAAGACCAGATTGAGAAGAAGAAAATGGGCTGAGTTACTAAAAGAAAAAGCCAGAAAAAGAGCCTATTAAAAGTTATTTATAGCAGGACATGGTGGCTCATGCCTGTAATCCCAGCACTTTGGGAGGCTGAGGCAGGTGGATCACCTGAGGTCAGGAGTTCGAGACCAGCCTGACCAACACGGAGAAACCCCATCTCTACTAAAAATATAAAATTAGCCAAGCATGGTGGCACATGCCTGTAATCCCAGCAACTCGAGAGGCTAAGGCAGGAGAAACGCTTGAACCCGAAAGGCGGAGGATGCAGTGAGCCGAGATCGCGCCACTGCACTCCAGCCTAGCGACAGAGCGAGACTCCGTCTCAAAGCAAAAAAACAAAGTTATTTATGGCCAGGCGCAGTGGCTCATGCCTGTAATCCCTACACTTTGGGAGCACGAGGCGGGTGGATCACCTGAGGTCAGGAGTTCCAGACCAGCGTGGCCAACATGAAGAAACCCGATCTCTATTAAAAATACAGAAAATTAGCCGGACGTGGTAGCAGGTGCCTGTAATACCACCTACTTGGGTGGCTGAAGCAGGAGAATCACTTGAACCCGGGAGGCGGAGGTTGCAGTGAGCCAAGATCGCACCACTGCACTCCAGCCTGGGCAACAAGGGTAAACCTCTGTCTCAAAAAAAAAAAAAAAAAAAAAAAAGAAAAGAAAAGAAAAGTTATTTATGTCTGTATTGTAGTGATTTTCCCTTAAATTGAAATGCTGGTTCTAAGCATTTACACTACCAAAACGAGAAAATAAACAAAAATTTAAAGTATGCCTTCTTAAATCTTATATATGAGGACTGCGATATACCATTGAAGTATTATCTGCACACTTATAGGAATTTAATGTAAATTTCAAGTTAAGCAAGAAATGGTTAATCAGAATTTGTTTGGCTGTGGGCCTGTCTTGTTGAATGATAAATTAGCAGTACATACAGATAAAGGCCAGTCCCACTTATTGAAAAGAAAATAGGCAAAACATCCTACATATCTTAGCTCTCTATGAGAACTTGTGGTCCCTGTGATGAGGCCAGAGATCTCATGTGGTTGTGCTGGTACTTCATTAAAAGAAAATAAAAGCAAAGCAGGTATGTAAATACACAAATAATACATCTTAGTAATTAAAACAAGTATACACTGCCCACAACTTAAAGACAAAATTTCAGAAGTCTAATCTGAAAAGTCTCAGAATTTATTAATGATTAATAAATTTTTTCATAGTCTGCAATAAAGTACAAGTGTATATTTAAATACGACTTTTGGACAATCGAGCTAACAATAAAAAAATCTTATTGTTCACAAACTGCCCCCCAAAATAATTAGCAAACTACAATTCTCCATTAGGTTCCAAAATTTCAAAACCACATTAAATATAAAAGAGCTGGAAAAAGAGGCTACTAATGGTTGTACATATTTGTATTATAACAAATTTTTCCCTAAATTGAAACCACTAGGTTTTTATTTGAAACTTAATATGTGTTTAATCTACTCTTTCTACAACTATTAATACACATTCACGGATTAAGTGCAGACTTAGTTTATTCAGTTAACGCCTACTAAACTAGGCAGAGCAGTCATCGAATAACAAACAGTGACTTTTCTTAAGTGACACCCATTTTCCATACTTTTTAAGGATAAAGTGGAGAAGACTGAGCAAGAAAGAGCTGCTTCAGAACAACGGGCACATCTGGAGGAAGACAGGTGCCTTCATGAAGGGTGGAAAACCCTGGGCAAGCCTAGAAAATTTAGAAAATGAAATAAACTGTGCAACCACATTCCAGATAGGCATCAACAAAGTAATGACAGGGAAAGCACTGCAGAATTATGTTATTCCTTTGAAGCTTTAAAAAACTGTGTTTAAAAAATAAAAATAAGAAACTCTTGATCCCAGCTGCTCTATGCAAAAGAAAAGTAGAGGAAATAACTAAATTTCAAACTACTGATAAACAACATACAGGACATAGGGAAGAGAATACTTATGTAGCTGTATATTCAATGACAAAGTAACTCTATGAAATATTCATTTGAAAGGTAATTAAGTCTTACAATTGAAAAGCTAACCTTTCACAACACAAAAACCATCATGCGGCTTTGAGATTAACACATTCTTATGTCCTCTGGTGCTCATTACAATTTATTTAGCACCTCATCTACATTGATACTTGGACTGTTTATATATTTTTCATTTCCTACAAGCTAAAATAGAAAAGAACCAAGGCTGATTCTCCCCCAAATATCTCAAACAAAACCTTTACAGATCACATATATAAGACTTATATAATAACCTTAGTGTTAAATCATGCTAAAATATTAATGAAAATAAATTTTTTCCATTAAGAGAATCCATACTTCAACTGAGGTTAAGCTGTCAAAAAAAGATGGTTTTAAAATCTATATTCTTTTTTGTAAAATCAATGATTCCAAACTTTCAACTTTTATACACATACATAACATTCTATGGCCTTGAGTATACGCATAAAATTACGCCATCATAAAAGAATTTAAAACCACAAATTTCTCAAATAATCCTATCCTGATTTTCCCTACATAGAATATTAAATTAGCCTTTCTGTGGTCTCACAGCACATGAGGGATGACGGGACTTTTTTTCCAGAAGAAATTAGCAGAATTTTAGGCTTTAAATGCCAAAACACTCTATTAGCTTCCCTTTGGCTATTAGTCTGATAAACAGAGTGGTCTCTAAAGTGTCTGCAACAGATACCAATAAATTTTCAAAATGAGACTTAGCACCTGCTTTTCTGATGTCAAAGAGAATGAAAAAGAGCTGATTCAGCATATGTGGTATATCCATTCAAGTCACATACTACTGATGTCACTGCGAGCTTTGACAGCTCATCGTCTTGACAAGCCAAAGGTTGCAAGATGAGTTAATAAGGCATGCAGCTGAGTCCATGATGACAGGCTTTGGGGAAGGCTGGGGACAACATCCCCCACAACTGCAGGCCAAGGGGCAGAATCCTTGTGACTGCTTCCAAGGGTGACAGAGAGATTCTGAAACTGAAACAAACGAGCAGTGGAGAAGAATTTCTCCTTCAAGTGCGATTAATCAGCTCCTTTCCACAATTGGCAAGCACATATTCATACTAAAGAAAAGGGAACAGAAAACCGTTTCCAGAATCCAAACTTAAGCCACGTGGGCATAGTTCATGCTAGAGATTATTGTATGTCCTGCCTCTCGGACTGCTACCTCATAAGCACATTTAAAATTTCTGTTGTGCAAGATAAATATTACACAATTTCTGTAAACAAGAAGAATTTCAAATAAATATACTGAGAGGAGAAGTTTGTTTTGGTTTCAGGAGATTTATTTGATTACAAAACAAACAAACTCTTCCATGGTTTTGATTTTATGTAGCATTTGATCCATTTTCATAAATACTACTTAGAATTTTTTAAACGCTTAAGTATCATTCTGAACACTAAAGATTAATATAACAAAAAAGACAACTAAATTAAGCAACACTTAGTTACACAGTCTATTTAGATTCTTTAATATTTTCTTAAACAGGCTTATTCCATATGAATACTATGCAATCATTTAAAATGACCTACGCAACTAACTGTATTTGACAAGAAATTACAATTTCCAAGTAGATAATAAAAACAGTACATAGAATACGACTGTTCTTCTAAAAGAAATTATCCACGAATACACACAGAGAAAGAAAGAGAAAATAGTAATCTTCTCAACTTTATAATGAAAATATTAACTATGTGATTAGGATAACCAGTAGAGCGATTTTTAGAAAGAGAAAACTTAACATCACTGAACAGACTTCTTTGTTACTCCCTAATCTAAATCTAAATTCATTACTTGATGCAAAAATGCAACACAAACACAGTCGGTGCAGGCAAAACAGAGTGACTTTTAAGCCCTCTAAAACAAACAGAACCTACCAAAATAAACTATAACTAACTACATAATACTTCTAAAGAAATTGAGGCCGGGCGCGGTGGCTCACACCTGTAATCCCAGCACCTTGTGAGGGCCGAGGTGGGTGGATCACGAGGTCAGGAGATAGCGATCATCCTGGCCAAAATGGTGAAACCCCGTCTCTACTAACATAAAAAAAAAATAGCTGGCCGTGGTGGCGCACGCCTGTAGTCCCAGCTACTGGGAGGCTGAGGCAGGTGAATTGCTTGAACCCAGGAGGCAGAGGTTGCAGTGAGCCGAGATCGTGCCACTGCACTCCAGCCTGGCGACAGCGTGAGACTCCATCTCAAAAAGAAAGAAAGAAATCGGCCAGGTGTGATGGCTCACACCTGTAATCCCCACACTTTGAAAAGCCAAGGCGGGCGGATCTCTTGAGCGTGGGAGTTTAAGAGCAGACTGGCAACATGGGAAGATCCATCTCTACTAAAAATACAAAAAAATTAGCCGGGGGTGGTGGTGCCTGCCTGTAGTCCCAGCTACTTGGGGGGCTGAAGTTGGAGGATCGCTTTAGCCCGGGAAGCGGTGAGCTGTGATTGTGCTGTGATTAAGCTGTGATTGTGCTACCGCACTCCAGCCTGGGTGGCACAGCCAGACCTTGTCTCCCTCCACGTCCCCACCACGCCCCAAAAGAGAAAAGAAATAGACACAGGCACAGACATCTGGAAAACTTTTTCTAAAATTAAAAAATAAAATTTTATAACACAGCTTTTTAGAAATAACTGTTTAAAGACATTACAGGCAAAAGAGGAAAATATTGCTGAATTATCATTTACCTTTCTATAGTTTTTTTTGAGACAGAGCCTCGCCCTGTCGCCCAGGCTGGAGTGCAGTGGCGTGATCTCAGCTCACTGCAAGCTCCGCCCGCCGGGTTCACGCCATTCTCCTGCCTCAGCCTTCCGAGTAGCTGGGACTGCAGGCGCCCGCCACCACGCCCGGCTAATTTTTTGTATTTTTAGTAGAGACGAGGTTTCACCGTGTTAGCCAGGATGGTCTCGATCTCCTGACCTCGTGATCCACCCACCTCGGCCTCCCAAAGTGCTAGGATTACAGGTGTGAGCCACCGCGCCCGGCCTTTCTATAGTATTTTTAAGAGTATTTGTGTATATGTAAAATTATTCTATCAGAGAAATCAGTCCATTTACTGACCCTAGTAAAAATAGGGTCAGTGTTATGGTGAAATTGACTTAGAAGAGATTAGAAGTGGCAGGCTGCTCCCCACCCCAACATTATGTTTATTTTGAAATACAAAGAATACAAATTTTCTTTTTAAAAATACATTCCTCAGTAAACAAAACACTAATCATAAACAAGATCAGACACGAGTTGCTCCCAGCCCCGTGTGCCCATTTATTTGTACTTCAAGAAACAACCAGCACATCCCACCTCTGTATCAATTTCACATTCAACAGGTGGTAAGCGCAGCTCACACAGCGACCCTGCCCTTCTGGCCTAGTCTTCAAATACTCCCAGTACTGCTAAGGACCACCAGGCTTCCACCAAGAAGACACTTGAGTGGAGACAGGGCTGAAGATCAGGTGAACGGAGCCACCTGTGCTCACCTGACTGTCCTGCCCGCGCAACGCAGCGGACCCGGGAGAGGACCCCGCGCCAGCCAGCAAGCCGCTGCTGGCGGGGCCCAAGGCTGCATCACCACAGCACTGCCCGGAAGAGGCAAAGTTGGCATTTCCCCACCTCCTTAACAGCCTGACCGGTGATTTCATTTTACTCTCCAAAATTACACACCTCAAAGTTGTGTGGAATAACACCATATTTTCAAAATATCATTTGAACAGTCTGCACGGAGGCCTGTTATCTGACAGAGAAAGCTGACTAAACGTACAGTGTTGCAGGATTGGTTTCCATTAAGCAGCTCCGTGTCCTGCGCACTCTGTCGCAGAGCACGCACCTGGGAGTGTTTAGGGATGCTGAGCTGCACCCTTCTTTCTGGAGTAAGCTGTGTCTGTCTCCGCAAAAGCTCAGGGATTTGGGTTAGAGGTTTGGGGTTTGTTTCTTTGTTTCCCAAGAGGGTGATTTCTTTCCTTTTCTGTGGGAACACATAAATCTTCAAATTTAGAATCAATGTTCCATTTTACAACGATTTTTCCTTTTTAAAAAGGTAGAAAGGTGGACCACTTTGCATTGGTTTTGTTTGTTTGTTTTAAATGGCACCCTTAACTAGAGAGGAAAACACTTCCTAGGACTCTATTTCATAAAATGCACAGGGAATAATTCTGCTTCTTTACTCAACAAAATCATCTAACTTCATGCCTTAAAAAAAATACAGTAAAGTGCTTTGTGCCTGTAATTCTAAAACCCTGTGGCTTTCCTCTATCTGAATCATATTCTAGTTTACCAGTTGTTTTTTATTGCAGAGAGTAATTTGGGGTTCTCCCTCACTTTAGAACTGCCCTTTAAGTACATAAAAATGAAATACAAAGACTAGTAGTGAAATTGTTGCTTGAATTTTTAAGACTCTAGCAAATAACTGCACCATGAAAACTGACTCAAAGGAATGTATACCCAAACCCATTCAAACTAAACACATAAACAAAATAAATACATAAAGAAAAATAGTACTTTTAAGGCCAATACTTTGTCAAAAGCAAAGTTTATTCACATTATTTTTTACTGATTAAACTAAATACCAAATGAAAATATACTTTTATTTTACTATAAATTAGAATAAATTATTTTAAGGACAATAATTCCCTTATATCAATGTCCAGAGAAATGCACTATGAGTCAATAAGGACGTCCATCATACAAACAGATGCTGCAGGACATATGTACACAGCCCAGTTCCCTATCAAAACCCAGAAATTTCTGTTTTGGTCGTGGTTTAAATTAAGAAGGGGACAAGTGGCCAGGCGTGGTGGCTCATGCCTGTAATCCCAGCACTGTGGGAGGCCGAGGTGGGCAGATCACGAGGTCAGTAGTTCGAGACCAGCCTGACCTACACGGTGAAACCCCGTCTCTACTAAAAATACAAAAATTAGCTGGGCATGGTGGTGCGTGCCTGTAATCCCAGCTACTCAGGAGGCTGAAGCAGGAGAATCGCTTGAATCTGGGAGGCGGAGGTTGCAATGAGCCAAGATCGCGCCATTGCACTCCAGCCAGGGCGACAGAGTGAGACTCTGTCTCGAGAAAAAAAAAAAAAAAAAAAAGAAGCTGACAATCTTCAGACAATACTGAATTAAAATTTCACCAGCACACAGGTGCAGCTGCACAGCAAACCAGAGAGAGCAGCCTGGTGTGCAGACCTCCCGCCTGCCACCACGGATCGAAAGGCAGCAGGGGATGGTGGACATATTTTTTATTTACTTACCCGGGAGAGATGGGGAAGAATCTGTATTTTTAAAACTGGTCATATATTTAAAAAGGACTCTGACTCAAATGATGTAGTCAGACAATTCAACCTTTACACAGTCACAGTTTCTGAAGACTTCTCATAAAATTTTATTAAAAATATTTTAATAATAGAACACTACAACCCTCCTGATCCTCCTTTTAAGAGATTTTTAAGTACAAAACCCTACACACTGTAACAATAAACAGACCGAATTAAGCAAGACGTTTTGAACAGAATGAGTACGGTTGGTCCTCCCTACCCATGGGTTCTGTGTCAGCAGACTCCACCAATAGCAGATAAAAAATTGGGGGAGGAAAAGCAGTAAAAATAATACAAATTAAAAAACAAAGTACAACAACTATTCATAAAGCATTTACATTGTATTAGTTATTATAAGTAATCTAGAGATGATACAAAAAGTATGTAGGAGGATGGTAGGTTACTTACAACTACTAACTTTATCTAAGGAACTTGAGCATCTACGATTTTGGTACTCGTGGGGGTCCTAGAACCAATTCCCTGTGGATACTGAGGACTGTACATAATTTTCCCACACTCACCCTTCCCAAACAGAATGATACTACGCTCAACCATTAAAAAGAACACAAGCCAAGTGGTCTTCCCAATAGAGGAAAACATTTCATTTTGCATTTCATCTTTTCTAGGCAAGTCCCACAGACTCATTTAATAACCTTCCTGTAATCTTATTAACCAAAGTATGATAATTAAATAGTCTTTGGGGTTTGGTGTTTAGGTTGAGGCACATATGAGTAGTTAATGATTTCACTTAACTGAAAATCCCAGGTAATGACCAGATCGAAAGAAAAGAAAGGGGCTCCTTTATTTTTCCTTACCTTTTAAAAGTACCTTGCTTCATTAGTAAACTAACTCCGTATGATTCCTGGCCTCATCTTTTTTTGCTTTGCTTCATTAACTGGACTACAATCACCCCTTGGTTTTAATAGAGCTTTTTTTTAGCAGAAATTACCCAGATTACTGACTTTTCCAAAAGGAAGGAGGAAGACGATTATTTCACAAAAGAGGAAAGAGAAATCCAGACTATAATTAAAAATAATGATTATTCAAAAGAAATACTTAAGACATTTGGACAACATTTAAATGCCCTTCAACAAGATGGGTAAATGCATACTGCAACAAAATGTATTTGCTGAAAAGTGCTTCACGATCTCAGGGACTCTGTATTTCTTCAAACCAGGAGTGTATCCATCATAATAGCACACTACAAAGGCTCAAGAATTGCTTAACAAAATGAATTCATAAATTCTCCTTCTCCCATCATAAATAAAACGAATTAGGTTTATAGACTGAGTAAGAACTAGCAATATAACTCAACCATCTACTTTTGCTGCTGAAGTGTACAGTATGCCACAGAATCAAACAAATACTGAGAAATCAGTATTACTCATTCCTAGTGTTTTTCTTTCTTTTTAAAGGGGGTAGGGGGAACAGAGATAAACTGTTTAAAAGTGAAAAAGCTGTTCCTAGGTGTGGAGCTGTGACTAGGAGAAAACAAGTTAGTCTTTAACCTCCTGATGTCAGGAAATGGAGCCAGAAGGCATGGATTGGACTACAAATGGTAGACTGCCGTGTGCAGTGGGATGGATGTGGACAACAAGCCAAAGCTGAGTTTGCAAGGCGGGTGACAAATGAATCAGAGATCTTGGAACATATTATTCTAACTACCCAACTACATTATACTGAATGTAAAATGCAGTTCTTATGAAAATTCTAAACATGTAGAGCACTAAAAAAGTGAATGAATTAAGTCTAAGAGGAAGGCTACACCACATAACAGATTCCCTAGCAGAATACAGAACTCCAGTTGTTTGGGGGGCTTGGAAGGGGCAGCAAGATGGACTCAACACATGGGTATCCTGGTGTCATTATCTCCATCAGCAGAACCCCTACTCATCCAGCAAATGAGGATACCAGCCTTAAAAAGTGAGAGTCATGAAAAGCCCTAGGCTGGCCTGAAATTACCAGATTCTAACTATGAAATTATTTGAGACTCGTGGGAGAAAAGACTTCCTGATCCCCTTTACAATTAAACAGAAAGAAACATATTTTAAATATCAACAGACATCATTTGTATACATTCAAGGGACATGATTTACCAAACCATAGGGTCCAAATCAACCCTAACCTAATTCTCAGATGCCACCTGGGCTATGAGAAAGATGCCAAGTGATGGACACTCCATATCCTAAAGCTCCAGCTTCTTAAGCCTGCACGGTGGTCCTGGCAGCCAGGATGCTGGAACTTGGCCTGCTACTCTGCTTCTGTGGCTCACACCTCTGCTTGACCTTGAGTCTGTGCCATCCTCCTACCTGAAGCTGACCCTGGTACTGGTGAGTATGTGGGAAGGAAGTGGGGATGTCCACAAGAGATCTTCAAGGTACTCAACTCTGTGATAACTGTTTCCAATAAACATAGATAACTGAAAACCCAGAGAAACAGGCAAGGAGAAAGACGTGGGACACAGTGGCTCTGTCACTTGTAAATCAGCATCCAAGTGCACAGCACTCTTTCACCAAGTGTGCCATTCTTACTCCTGGAATCTTGGTTCCTGGCCTACATGCCAAACCCTGCAACAGATAAACTCTACATCTAAAATATATTTGTTCCTTCAATCTCTTGTATCCTTGTAAAAATGAGGTAATTTTAAATGCCAGCTCAGAATACATTACAAATCAATAACTTACATGCCAAGAATTTGAGAGTCTTAACCTAACATTGTTATTTTCACCAAATTCAGTCTGTAATAAGATCCTGACCATATGGGATCCATAATCTAGAACTGCACTGTCCAGTATGGTCGGCACTAGCCACATGAGGGTGTTTAAATTTAACTAAAACGCAAAATTCCTTCTGCTAGCCATATTTCAGGTGGTATATAACAATATATGGCAAGTGGCTGACATACTGGACAACACAGATAGGGACTGTTTTCATCACTGCAGAAAGTTCTACTGGACAGTGCTGATCCAGAATATCCCAAAGTCCCTGCAACATCCTGCCTGCTACACATGCTATAAACAAAATTCACTCATATATTTTTCCTTTTGGAGGGAGATGCAAAATACACTGAATGGAAATCTCATTAAGATATCAGTGGACTAAGAAGCTGTCATCCACCCTTCACCCCAAACTCAAGCTGAAACTGCAGGCTGGTTAAAGAAGCCTCCATGGTGACCCAGCAGAGGGTCTATGGACTGACCACAGAAAGGGCTGCTGTCCCTAGAGGCCACCTCCAGAGGACTATTTCCTATCTGCCACTCCACTGCTACCAGCACTGGTCTGAAGCAATTTTTTTCCAGTCTATAAAACTTATTGCCAAATTTTCATTTGTAAGTGCTCTGCCTCCCAGGTTCCCATGCCCAGAACTCACTGAGTCCTGGCTTCTGAGAGAAGGGTGGGGGTAAGAAGCAGGGAGAGTTTATGACAAGTCCGAGTGGAAATTATGGGCCAGCCTCCATGAACTCACAAAAGTACCTGGGACTCATTCAAAAAAGAATGTCTTTTTCTGAGTGGCCCACTTGCCTCCCACCTCCTTCCCCTGCTAGAGGCAGCCCCTGTGCACTACAGAAGCAGAGGCCCTGCTCTTGTCCCCAGTACCAGGCCACTGGTGCATGTCTTCCCCAAGGTTTACATCCCTAGAAAAGACTAGGCCAGTTTTATCTGACCTTATGTCCAGAACCCAGCAGTCCTGGACGGCTGTCAAGCAGTTGGTGGTAAAAAGCAAAGCACAGGGCACTTGGCAGATACACAGATGAACACAGGAAGGTGAGGAAATAGAACAGGCGCGGCTTCCACCACCAGCGGCCTCCAGTAACCTTCCTAACAGGATAGGGTTTCTGAGACCAACAGCCCTCCTCCCTAAAATCTTAGGCCCCTGAAATGGGGCTACTTCATTTCTAAGATCCCAAGTCCAGGGCGAGTATCTTCTGCCTTGGACCCCATGACATCCAGGCTCTGTTTCTAGGGCCCTTCTGGAGATGGGCATAGGTTCTCCTACCTTTTCTTGATGTTTATCTTGGCTGTTCCTCCTGGACACAGGGAAGGAGCTGAGGCGTATCACTCAGGTGGCAAGGTGAACTAGCTTAAAAGGTAGATTTTCTCCTCTCATGTAGAAAACTTGATAAAGATAAAATTATGTCAATAGCAAATTATGTATAACTTTCAATTATTACAGAGCCTTTATATGTGTTACATCATTGGAAGTCATATATAATCCACAATAAGTCATTCTGGAAGACAGCACTATAACATATACAGAAAGGACTATAGCGTTGTTCTGGATCCCCACCTAGCCTCAGATAAAGTCTCTAGGACAGGATTGTGGTTAATATGTAATGTATGGCCTGGAACATACAGTAGCTCTAGGTTTATCACACCTGGTTGAATGGCAATAACCAGAATGTCAGAAAGCTCTGGATTTAGCCTATTTAACTTTCTGTATTAAGAGCTATCATGAGATACAAATTCAGAGGGGACACAAAGGTAGGAATTACACTAAATACAACAGATGCCAGATTCAGGATCCTAACACACGTTAGCAAGCTTGAACAACAGCCCCGACCCAGTCCAACAGCAGCCAGGAAGGGTCGATGAGCACTTGAGCTCAGGTGCAGGATGGATGAGACGTATCCTTCAGAGCAGCTCCCATCACAGTGGCAAGAGTGGGCTGCAGCTGCCGCAAAGCCCTGCAGACCCTGACGCCTCCGATACACGGCAGCGTGACGGTCCAACACAAAGCGGGCCAGGTGGCCTCCGCCAGCCATGCCTTTGGAGCCTGCCCTTTGGTTGTGGATATCACATTTAGAGGTGCTTATACAAAAATGAAGCTCATTAAGGAATTAAGAATAGGGTGCAGGGGAACTTGAGACCACACAGTGGGGGAAATAGTTAAAGTAACTATTAATAGCCCAGAAGAAATCCTAGTAAATGAAAACTATCTTCAAATACGTGAACAGCCGTCATATAGAAGAAGGATTTAGATTTACCTTGTGTGGTTTAAGAAGGCAGAAGTAGAACCAGGATTTAAAAAAACAAACAAAAAAAACAGTTCGAGCTAATGTAAGGAAAAACTTCCTAAACAATTTAAATTACCACAAATAAAATACCTCATAAAGTAATAAATTCTGTATCACAAGACATTAAAAATGATGTTTTAGTAGCAGTTTATGTATCAGGTAGACAGGGACTTGTATATACCATACAAACTATTAAGATTCATCTTTATTCTAAAGACAAAATACTCACAGATAAAAAAAAATCATATGTATGTGTGTGCAAACGGCCTCATTCCACACAGGCTGACTATGTCAGAGCATATTGCTTCGAAAGTTACATCAACTAAAGCATTTTCAAAATGTCCAACAGTTCTCCAGAACCATAAACTGTCCTTCCTTTACTATCTCATGTGAGGGTATAGTTCAGGAAAGGGGCTAACTAGAAACTTGAAACCAAAGAGACATCTTGATCAATATTATCACTCATACATTAAAAAAAAAAAAGAACTTCATTTTTAATATTTTAAAAGCTTAGTTCCTTAGAACTTTGTCTCCTCTGAAATTGTCCAAGATCAAGCAGATAATGGGCTAAGTCCAAAAAATAAAGGAGCAACAGAGCAAATCTGACTGCGTGTTTGAAAAAGCCTATAAAATGTTACAAGCAAAACAGGAAAGCCTGTGTTAATAATGCATAAACCAAAAGAGAAAAAAAAGCTGCCCATTTAATGGAATAATGCTTTTATCCTTGCAGTTAAAATGAAATAAACCATGACTATTAATCTAGTAAGACCATGTAAAAATGTAATTTTTAAACATTTACTAAAAGGGGATAGTTCAGTAACCACTCTAAAAATCAAGGCCTTGTGTACAGCAGTGTTTAAACGCTAAATACCAATCTCCTGTCTGCGGAGGCCATTACCCACCCTGTCACCATAGCAACGCTAACAGTATGCCTGACTTCAAAGACAAAGATGTAATTTCAGACTTCCAGCAGCCAGAGGGAGTGGTAAGAATATTCTACCCAAGCAGTGTCAGCTGATGATAAATTATAAAAATATCCAGGAAGGTTATGAGGCGGACGGTACCACATATTCTCATATTCCTGGGGGAAGACTTACATTAGTCAAACATACTAGGAGACAGAGAGAGTAAAACAAAAAGTAAACAAGAAAGAATCTCAATGGAGTCCGATTTTTTTCTTTTTTTAAAATTACATAGTACAGAGTTCTAGCCTTCCTTTTCTCTTGCTCCCAGGAGAAAATAAAAATAGTTTCTACCATCTTCTTTCTCATTCAAATTAAGAGTGACTGCAGACCTGCATGAATGTTCCAAGGGACTTGCAAAACCACCTCTATAACTGCTACTTCTATATTTGTGAAACTCTGGCGTTTGTCAAAAACCGTTTTAAGCACCAGTAGTCAGCTAAGGGGGCTGAGTGGATCCCTGTGTTGAAGCTGCAGAGGGCAGCCGTCCATTCTAGCACTTGGAGCTTTGCTTTCCAACCACCCAATCTAACCCCAACATACTCAAGATATTTTTAAAGCCCTGTGAAGGGGAAAACACTGAAAAACAATTTGCCAATTTGTAAGTTTTTGTGTCTTAAAAAAATAATAATAAGTGCATAAAGCTGACACAGTACTGTTTCACAATTACGCAGTTGACCAGATTTTAAAAGCACTAGCCCTAGAGTTGAGGTTGAGAATGCCACAAAATGCCCAGCTAGTAATTTTCCCAGAGGTAATGAAATACAAAAGAATAAAGTTGGAGCTAAAGTCTTCTTGAAGATTCCCTACAAGGAAGAATTGCCAGACTCCAAGGATTTTCGCTTACTCGAAGAAAGTCATAAATGACTAGCCTGGCCAGCAAACACACAGATGTAAGTTTTACTACAATATTATTGTTTTACAAGAATGAATATATACATTAAATTCTCTTTCTGTTGAATTCTCTTGTATGGTTTTAGGCTCAAAAAAGTCTAGTTCCCTTACTAACAGGAGCATGACACGGCTGCCTCTTTCAACAGACCCTGCTCCCCACTCCCAAAGGTGGATGAATGGTCAGAAGGGTGTGGAGTCCAACAAGGGCTGGTGTCAAGATCCCTGCCCCCACTGCTCACCGGCCTGCTGCCCACAACCACTCTCAGCAACCAAAGTGCACAGGAGCCACGGCAGCCCGACCTTCTTCCCACGACCAACCATGGGGGGCAGGATGGGAAATCAAGCCAGCCTCAGTGTCCCCACCACCCCTGCTAGCCTTTTGCTGGAGGTGGACCTATGATGGAGTTCCATGTTACTCCTTAGGAGCACAGCTCCAATTTTATAACGTATTCAAAGTCAGTAAGTTCGAGAAAAATAAAGCACATAAATTCACTCACAAACTGTTATCATCCTAACTATTAAGCTATTAGTGGCATGCATGTTCTGTAAAATTTAGACCATCACTAGTCTCATCAATTAATCTTGAGCCCTCATCTTTAAACCCAAGGATCAGCAATCTTCTTCCCAGAAAAACAAGCTAAATTACAAATGTCACTCACACACCTATCCCTCAAAACAAAGAAAAACACATGTATAAAAAAACACTCTCTTCACAATTCAACTCTTTCCTGACTAAATGGGTTTCCACCCTGGTACACGTTTTATGCTTATAAAATAATTATTTTTAAAAATTATTGTGAAATAAAAATGGGTTCAATAAGCTACTTCTTTGGACAGAGTAACAAAGTAGTTAAGCAAGTTACAGCAAAAACAGATAATTATTCAATCATTTATGTGGCATGACACCTAATTTAGGCCTTTGATAATTTTCCCAAACATGAAACCACTTTTTTAGCACTATATTAAAAACTCATATTTTGGACTCATTATTCACTATTTTCAAAAGAGTATATATTCCTTTATAAAGTATTTCCTTTTACAATATAATAAAAGAAAAATAATATTCCTTTCTTAAGAAATGAAGTGTTGGCCAGGTGCGGTGGCTCACACCTGTAATCCCAACACTTTGGAAGGCTGAGGCGGGCGGATCACGAGGTCAGGAGATTGAGACCATCCTGGCTAATACAGTGAAACCCCATCTCTACTAAAAACACAAAAAATTAGTTGGGCGTGGTGGCGGGCGCCTGTAGTCCCAGCTACTCAGGAGGCTGAGGCAGAAGAATGGCGTAAACCCAGGAGGTGGAGCTTGCAGTGAGCCGAGATGGCACCACTGCACTCCAGCCTGGATGACAGAGCGAGACTCCATTTCAAAAAAAAAAGAAAAAGAAAGAAAATAAATGAAGTGTTTTACTTTAATAATTAGGTAATCCCAATTTTTCCCCTTTACTTTGCTAGTCAGGAATGTAGCCTTAAATTTAATCATTATTCATCAGTAACTGCATTATCATGGTTTGTTTGCTTCTCTCTTTTTCAAACTTTTTTAAGAATTTGTAATCCGCTTGGAGCAGTCTTTGTTTATACAAACGTTTTACTGTAAGTCAGCTCAAATCCTTTCTGGAAGCACAAGGGTTATAAATTCTATATAAAAACATCATAGGATATGAAACATTCTGTCACACCAGGACTCTTTCAGTTAAAAGTGGCCACTGGTATATTTAAAAATAACCATTTATTTATAATTTTCAGGGATACATGTTGAAAGAATACCTCATCCAAGCTATTTTTAAACACTTTTATAAAGAAATTAATTCTTAAATTTTGATCATTAAGTTATAGAGTATCTGGGTAATACTTTATATTAAAATACCAGAGTATTTTAAAAAATTCATTAGGGAGGCTAAAATTGCATCAATTATATTATACTTCATACATTTTTATTGTTTTAATGAGAAATTAGGTTTGTAGGTAAATTCAAAGGTAAAACTGGTAACAGTAAGTATGATTTAAGAAGGGATATGACAGGACAGTCAATAAAAATGTTGGGGAAAAGTAAAGTGCATTAATCTATTTGCAACGGTAAAGTCATAGTCATTTCCTCTATAACTTCCCCAGTTACCTTTACAGCAGTTACCACTAGATCTTATGAATAGTTTAAACTTCAATAAATAAGACTCGGAAAGAGCAGCGCTAAAAAACCAGGACAACTTTCAGGTTGTTACCCCCCCGCAAAATACCACCTGGCCCACAACAACATATTCATTTAATGTCATCTAATCAACTGCGATGGAAGAAGGCAGAATTGAAAAAGGTATATTTCCTATATTAACGTAATTATTTAGGCATGTCCCTTTCTCTTACATCCCCATATATATACACAAACCTATATAATATTTTAAATAAAGTTTCAACATTAAGTATTTGACTTAAAAGTGCATTTAGTGATACTACCTGATTCACCATCTTTGGTCTTCCACTAAAGACCTGTGTTATCCTTCATGGCTGGTTGCTCCTATTACGGTTATATGGTGTTTGTACCAAAACTCTGAAAACTCTTTGAGCAATGTAAGGAGTTTGCCTAAAGCAGATTTGCTGCAAACCAAGTAGATCTGTACCTATGCCTTTGCTTTTGCCTTCTTTTAGGTGATCTTGCTACTCACTAGTAATACCATGAGCTGAAATGAGCAAGGGAGGGTGAACCCCAATCACTGCAGCCACTATGCTACCAACCGACTCTGAGGATAAAGCTGGGGTGCAGATTAGTCTAACACTAGTCACTAACATCACATTTCCGAATTATCAACATATTTTAATTGTCCAAACTATACACCTATAATTATTCCTAAGGAGTTAGAAATAATTCACAAGTTAGAAATAATTCACTTGTTAGGAATAATTAATTAAAATGTATTAAAACCTAGAGGATTTCACCCCTTCATCTTCACTCGTCCCCATAGTTTAGTTTTTGGTAGCTCAACAAACCAAAAATGGCAGCGTAATACTGGGGAAATTCTTAAAAACACAAGGTTTATTAATGTAGTTTTCTCTTCTTTATGTTCTTCTGTGCAGGGTAAAACTGATAAAATATAAAAAATATAAAACTGAGGAACATGAAATAAAATGGATGCAGAAGAACCTCAGTGGCATTTACACCAACATTCTCTGCATCCAAAGAGTACTGCAGCATTGGGGTTCAGCAATGAAGTCACAGGCTAGGAGTCCTGGGGATCTGATTTAGACAAGAGTCAGCCGCCTGTTCCAGTTCCTTGCTCATAGGAAAGGAATGCTGAATCTCAGGGAAGTGTGGTGCACCGGCAGCCCTGACAGGCCCTGGAAGCCAAATATCATTTCACAAAAGGAGGAGGGCAAAGAAAAGGCAAGAAATTGACATTCAGTGGACACTTGTGAATGTGGCAGGCACTGCCAAAGTGGTTTATGAACCTTAGATCTCATGTATGTGCAAAGTACTCTAGGTGGAGTATCCCGGCTGAAAAGCTCAATTAGGTGTGAAATGTTCTTTGTCAAACAACAACGTGCATATTTAGATATATATATCTGATACCCCTAAAACAGGCCAGAATTATATGAAAGATGTTTTTATCCCTATAAAACATAGAAAATGCCAATTAAGTCAGCAAAAAAAGTAGTAAAAATAATAAAATCCTCATGAAGCCACTCAAGAAAGCCAGCATAAACATTACTCTTCTACACCAGGTGTTCACAAAAGGGTTGGGAGACTTGGAAGGCAGTGTTCTCTTCCTCTGAAATCACCAGCACTGATAAGACGTGACTCAATGCCACCTGAATGTCTTGTATAAAAAGCTCTGACCACAGTTGTGTCATAGCCATTGCTGCTCTTAAACTTTCAAATAGTCAAGACTTCCACAAGATGGCAAAACACTTCTGTGAAATTATATGTGCTGAAAGTATGAATTCTGCAACTATAGGTACGTGGTTCTCTGAAGATAAAATGAAAAAAGATGTTAAAGTATTTTCAGTAACCAGTATCCCAAAAGTAGATATTTTCTGTTGAGGATTTCTTTTCTTATTCCTGAATGTGTTATGGGAAAGAACAGACATTAATAAGCCAGTGAAATAATTTGATTTTTTATTTATTTTTCTTTACATCTAATATAAAATCTTAGACATTAGACACAATAAATGATTACTAAACATAACTGAATTTTTCTGCATCATTGAGATGTGGAAAAGACAAGATACTGTGTCTTAATTGAGGATGTCAACATTTAGGCATGCTGGCTAAAGAAAGGCATAAATGCAGCAACTATGGGGCTGGGCACTGTGGCTCACATCTGCAATTCCAGCACTTGGGCGGGCGGCAGAGGTGGGAGGACCACATGAGGCCAGGAGTTCAACACCAGCCTGGCAACAGAGTGAGACACCCTCCACCCCCACCACCCACTGCCCCCCCATCTCTATAAGAAATTTAAAAATTAGCCAGGCGTGGTGGCACACGCCTATAGTTCCAGCTACTCGAGAGGCTGAGGTGGGAGGCTGAGTCTAGGCGTTCAAGGCTATGATCATGCCCTTGCACTCCAGCGTAGGTGACAGAGCAAGACTCTGTCTCAAAAACATATTAAATAGAAATAAATAAATAAATGCAGCAACTATGAAAAGCAAACACATTTGGGGAAATTTGACCACATTTGTATTTATTCAAGAATACCCCTAACTTTAATCAAAATTAGCAAAATAGTTTTTTTATTTAAAAGGAGAGACTGTTTTAGCTTTGAAAAAGCTCACAGGACACCATGGTGGCACCATGCTCAGGAGCAGGTGCCTGAAGGAGCTGCTGTCATGACTGGAACAAGCTCCAGACAGACCACTATTCCACCACTGTTCAGCTGTCCTGCCATTCTGGAGTCTCTGTTTTCGTAGCTGGAAATTACAGCTCAAAAATAATCCAAATCAAATTAAATATATAAAAATACATGCATGTTAAGAAATCATTAATTTTAATTTTTCTTGTTTCATTAATTGCCCTTGGCAACTGTAATATGTTTCATCTTTAGCTTATACAAAAAGAATTTTTTAAACAAATTAAGCCAAAAGTTTTTCCCTTCATCCCTAAAGCAAAACCTTTGCTCTTTTCTTTGTCATTTCCTGGAGTAAAATGACAGGCCTTTTTAAAAATGAAGAAAAAATAGGGGGAGGGGCTTGATTTTTTTTTTTTTTTTAAATTAGCCCTTCAGAGTTCAGAGTAATCTTTCTAAAGTCCCATTTCCTCTGCTAGGATCCAAATGTACAAGAAACTCCTGGTGCTCAACGTGGTAACCCATTTCTACAAAATAAAAGGGGATATCTTTCAAAATAGCATGTTAAAGCAAGGTTCCCTGCACCATCGCCCCATACTCACACGCCCTACATCTGCAAAAAAGAAAAAAACAAGTAAAGGCATTAAATTTGTAGACTATGCCATACATACCTATATCCCCAAAAAGTTTCAGAGAAGGAGGAATTAATAATGAGACAAATTAAACTAAGAAATATTCCTCCAAAATGAACTAAAGTAAGAATGTAGCCCAAATCATTCAAAAGTATATATCAAACAAAGAAATACAAAGTAACTTGTCTTTACCCAAGGAAAGGAACCTATTTGGATAGAAATTTACTGCACTATCCTAAAAGCAAAGAAAATAAGACTAGCCTGAGTCCCAACTGAACTACAGAGTTTCAATTTTTATCTTGGGACTGTGCTCTTGCCCTAGTCCCAGTTACAGTTAGAGACACTCTGGGATGATGTGTGGAGTTGTTTATACACAGTCTGCTACAATACCCTTCAAATCATCTCCAAAAATTTAAATGAAATGCAAAGTTATAGCCAATGCCATCAATATTTCAACATCAATTCTAATTTATGACAATGTTTTACTTCTATAAAGAACTATATAAGAAATAAGGCTTTAGTAGCAAAGATGAGTGAGTTGCTTCCTTTTAGATGTTACAGGATTTGAGCAGTTATTCAGGACTTGCTTTACTCTCATAAAAATCTCTGGGCATTCCTTTCTCTTCCCACCACCGTTTCCCTGTGTTTGTCAGCAACGCCACCAACACATCCTGGTCACACAGATTAAAAACCTCAAAAGCATCTATCCTCCTTCCCTCCCTCCCTCCCTCTATTCCAACAATTTTCTTCCTCTGCACTCCCACTGCCACCACAATTTCACAGCATCGCTGAGCTAACACTCTCAAGTTGTGTCCCTGCTCCAGGGTCATGACAGCATTTCGAAAATGAAGTTTTGCATATGTTAAAAGGGCGTTACAATGCGCTTAGTAACCTGAAAGCTCTAGACTTTCGAAATACTATAGAAGAATGGAGTGGGCTTTAGGCAGGCACATAGATGTCAGGAAGCCCTGTCTTTAAAATTCACACACCTCTATCTTGGACACTCACTAATGGGCATATTTATTTATTTATTTATTATTTATTTTTTATTTTTTGAGATGGAGTCTCACTCTGTCGCCCAGACTGGAGTGCAATGGCACAATCTCGGCTCACGGCAACCTCCACCTCCCAGGTTCAAGCAATTCTCTTGCCTCAGCCTCCCGAGCAGCTGGGATAACAGGCGTGCACTGCCATGCCCGGCGAACATTTTTTTTTTTTTTTTTCGTATTTTTAGTAGAGACGGGGTTTCACCATGTTGGCCAGGCTGGTCTTGAACTCCTGACCTCAAGTGGTCTGCCCGCCTTGGCCTCCTGAAGTGCTGGGATTAAAGGCATGAGCCACCACGCCTGGCCCATTATTCTTCTTTTACTAGCAGTTTCTAGTGTCCATTAACTAATATTTTCACCTTTGTCGTTGTTGAGACAGGGTCTTGCTCTGTTGCCCAGGCTGGAGTACAGTGACGTGATCACTGCTCACTGCAGCCTCCATCTCTCAGGCTCAAGCCATCCTCCCACATCGGCCTCACAAAGTAGTTCAGACCACAGGCATGCCCTACCACACCCAGGTAATTTTTGTATTTTTAGTGAAGATGGGGTTTCACCATGTTGGCCAGGCCGGTCTCAAGCTCCTAGGCTCAAGAAATCTGCCCACTCATGGCTTTCCAAAGTGCTGGGCCACCATGCCCAGACACTATTTTCATTTATATACAACCAGACTTTCAAAAATAGTGTCCAATGAATGAAGTGTCATATTACCATTCTAAAGCCAAACTTTTTCCGGGTACAGCATAATTCCAAAAGACCAACTACACATTTTCCCCAGGTGTGGACTGACTCACTGCACAGCTCAACCACCCATGCCCATGGGGAAAAGAAAGACTCAGGGAGATCCCTACCTACGCAAGTCAGGAAATTCTAAAAACAGGAAAGAATCTGCAGGCACAGGTGCCAGGAGGCCGCAGCACACTCGGTGGTCCCCAGGCTCACTGTGGCCTGCTTTAGAGAGGACATCTGCCTGAGGAGCGGACATGGCTTCTGCCACTGCCTCAGTGCATACCATTTTGTGCTCTGACAGAAAGAGCAGTGAGAAAACAAGTAAAAATGAGAACTGTAACACACCACTCTACCCAGATCAAAACCAGTGAGCTCTAAACACTCACAAAAAAAAAAAAAAAAAAAAAAAAAAAAAAAAAAAGCCGGATGCGGGGGCTCACACCGGTCATCCCAGTACTTTGGGTGGCAGAGGCGGGCGGATCACAAGGTCAGGAGATCAAGACCATCCTGGCTAACATGGTGAAACCCCGTCTCTACTAAAAAAAAAAAAAAATATACAAAAAAATTAGCCCGACTTGGTGGCAAGTGCCTGTAGTCCCAGCTACTCGGGAGGCTGAGGCAGGAGAATGGCAGGAACCTGGGAGGCAGAGGTTGCAGTGAGCCGAGATCGAGCCACTACACTCCAGCCTGGGCGACACAGCGAGACTCCGTCTCAAAAAAAAAAAAAAAGGAAAAGAAAAAGAAGAAGAAGAAGAAAAAGCTTGCAGGGGATGCAGGAGGCATTCTCCAGGAAAACAGCTTGGGTTTCATTAAAGACGAACAGTGGTTTTTCATGTCTCTGGGTTGCTACTACTTCCATTCATGTCAATCTCGGTTTAAAAAGCATAGTGTGTTTATGAATGACTTTTTAGTATAACAAATGTAAACCTGAGGTTTGGAGGTGAAGGGAGGCCTCAGATACATGCCCTTAGGGCCTTCCTTCCCCCACCAAGAAATGAAAAGCAACTGCCACATGATCAACTTGGTTCAGAAAACCATCCGGTTGGCATTAGCCTTTGCATTACAAAGATTTCGGCGTCCTGCAGCTTTTTCATTTATTTGGTTGGCTGGTTGGTTGTTCTGCCTCCCCCTTCCCTTTCCCATGAAGTTTTTTCCTTTTCCCTAGACTTCCCTATATGCAACGACATCACGGCTCCCAAACTGATCATACAGGAGAGGAAGGAGGACCTCTGGAATCTCTAGGATGAACAAGAAGAGGGAGACCACAGGAAGGTCTGCGGCTCTCCAATGGCCTGCATAGTAAGATTATATACTCAGTAAGGCAACCCCAAATCCCTCAATAAGTTCAAGTGTCCCTGCTACAAAAGCAAATGGCATCGGAGAATGGAAGAGAGGCCACCAAGCAGCACACAGGAGCCGTTTCTGAAGATTTCAATGTACCCGCACTTTACTCACTCCACTGACTTTTTCCCAAATGCAAAGGGCCCGTTTTTATCAGTGCTTTTTCTCATACACTAACAAAGATGGCTTTTAATGTAAAATTTTGGAGCTAGAAGGTGCTAGAGTTTCCTAAATCTAACTTACTCATTTTTCAAAGAAACAGAAGCTCTGAGAAATGACGTGTATTGCTCAAGGCCAGAACCTTAGCTGAGAGTCTGCCCTGTTGGCATTCAGTGTGGCGATTAGAATAGGTCTCCCAGCCAAAACATATTATTTTATAAAAACAGTAAAGCAATTGTTTCTTCCATACAAGTCATTATAAGCTGTTTATTTTCATTTTTGTGAGGAGGAAAAAAGGCAAGTAATATAAACTACTTTCAAATCACAATTTTTACAATGACCCGATGGTAAATAAAATTGTAGTTAAATATTTATTTCATTTCAGTCTAATAATCAGGTTAAATCAAGAGCTCTAAAAAATTAGCTATTAGTAAGTGAGTGCTAAAAATGATATACGTAATTTTAGAATATTCTCACATGCAATGAACACGTACCATATGCACAGATGCATGCATACAGACAGCAACAAATACAAACCTGTGCACTGAAAAATGTAAATGGTATCTCAATCACGAACCAAGTAGAAAGATGTGCACACCATGATCTAAAATTGGGTACAATTTCGGTCCTGTGGAAAGAGACAATCGTACCAACATGCTTTTTTTTTTTTTTTAAAGAATGCATTATGAAGAAAAGTAGTTGAGAAAGCTTAGTCACTTTTTTGTGGCTTACAGCTTTTTTCTCCTCTTTTATTCCAGGCTTAAACAAAGTTCAGTGGGGCATCAAAATGCCTGTTTTAAATTACAGTCTATATTTTAAAATAGAATGCACGCACGGCATGTTCCTGAAGCTAGGGGGTGGGAGTGTTATTCACGGAAAATTGAAGGCTTGTTGAGTCAATAATCTTCTTTCACACAGTAACAATTTTCCGCTAAAATTTCTTGACCCAAACAAAGGAAAACAAGACCATTCAGTTATTTTACAACAATTTAGAGAAGGCAAAAGAAAAAGATGAGAAAACAAGAGAGACACCTCTAAAATCCTACATTGTGAGGGAAGAATGGGAAATTTTGGCTCAGGTAGAACCTTCTCTACATGTATTTATTTCCTCTCCTAAACTGACAGTTAACATTAAAAATTGTTACTTCCAGTCCCAAAGAAACATAAAAGCAAATAACCAGTCTACAAATGCTACTATGAGCTCCTGCTGGTTATATATCCCTTGTTATATAAAACAGATGTGTGCCTTCAGAGTTACCTGCGAAGTGAAAATCTGTAAATTAAAAGCTATTTCCCACCTAACTTGGATAATATAAAGTAGAATGCATTCAACGCCTCACACTGGCCATTGCCTGCAGGAGCTGGAGGCAGCAGATCCCAATGCCCAGGAGAAGCAATAGGAGGAGGAGGATGGGTGGGTGAAGATGGTGGCATCTAGCCCAACATGGCAGGCACTGCCATGCCAAAACCAGAAGTGCAGGCTAGGGTGAGAAGAGGGACCTCAGAACATTAGAGTCATGTGTTTTTTTTTTTTTCTTTTTAGCATAAAAAATAAAAAGTTACACTTGCAGGAGCTGCAGTCCTGCCCTGGCCTCTGCACCATTGTGGAGCTCCTTGTAAGCTCTGCTCTAGGTGGCTCTAGACTCCCTGAGACCCACTCTGGCTCCCCCTTCTGCTGGCCTGAGGCCCATGGGGTCCACGCTGCCTCTGTGGCCCAGGCATCCAGACCACAGAAGAGCTCCGTGGCCTCACAGAGGTCACTGGAAGAGCTGCAAGCTGGTCAAAGCCTGCCCATCCCTCACTTGTTATGGCAAAATTTGTATGCTGACTTTTCTATTAGCCAGGAATATCTGCATTTATCATCTCTTACTTAATGAGCCTCATTTATCAACTATAGATCATCCTTATCCTTCTATTATCAAAACCAATATCCTGCAAATCAGTTATGCTTCAGCCTCTCTTAATCTCCAATTTTGTCTAGTGTCTATTTTTTTATAGTACTCCTTCATACTCCTTCATTAATTTTTTAGGAACTAATTGACACTCCTATAAAATGGGTTGAAATTCATTTCCCCCATATTTTAAATGGAAATCTTCAGAATACTATATGAAAAAGTTTTCAGGGGCATGCTTAGTTGAAATGTATTTTAAAAAATTAAACAAATTCTTAAAATTAAAACATTACCACTAAGCAAATATCTCAGCTATGACGAATTCAGAATTTTATTTTAACGGGAACTGAGTATGTCAACTTAGAAACACTTTGCACACAAACATCTGAATTATTTAAAAGCAAACTATAGTTCTTTCTCAATATTAATTTATTCAGACTTTCCATTATATTTAGCCTGTTTTTTCCTGGAAGAATTCCAAACTGTTAAGGTTTTATTGAATTTTCATTTACAGAACAAATATTTAAATGGAAGATTGTTTTGAAAGAAGGAGACAGACATACCTTCCTGCTTCCTACCTTGTTCAAGTTCAAGCATTATCCTCTATTTTCAAAATGACTATCAATATCATGAAAATATCCTAGGGAATAAAATCACAGGATATCACATCCTAAAGAAATAATCCATTTTGGAAAATAAACATCTGTCAGAGTCACTATCATATTTTCTAAATTCAGGTTTTCCAGCAAGGTCCTGAAATGCTCTTAATCTTAATCCAAAAATAACTGATATCTCCAGATAGAACAGACCAGTGATGAAAATTATGTTCAAGAACTTGATGAATCCTAAGAAGCTGAAGTATTGCATGTTCCCTTTAAAACTTCCCCAAGACATCAAAATGCATCTGTACCTTTGGTTTTGAAACGATGCAGATGATAAGGTATGCCTGTAGCTGTTCTGGGGGACAGGGCACCATCCTTCAGAGAACCTCCTCTTCCTCCCTGGCACAGGAGGCTTCCATTTTATAAAGTATTTTCTCTGAAACTCTAAAACTCAACATAGCCTAATAACATTTTGAGAATACTGATAATAAACAGCTTAAGTCTTCAGCAACACACAGGCATCATCCATGCCTGAACACTGAGATAAGCCTGATGACAGATATGGGTTTTCCTTCATTAACTTATAATTTTTTTAATGTTCATAAGGATTTGAGAAGGATCAATCAACGGAAGACAGCTCCACTCTTAACCTTTTAATGACAACCATTTAAATCAACCTCAAATAAAAAGGTTTCAAAATACTTCATTCAATAGCCATACACCTAATTCTTACCTGGTAGATTTTAACTTTTGCCAAAACCTGCCAGCTCACAGGTTCAGATGGTCTTAGCAATTTACATTTCTAGCTGGGTTGGACTGAGAACTAGCAAAAAGCTGAACCCAGTTAAAAAGCTTTTCCCGGTAGTTTCCAATCATTCACAGTATTATCAAATCTACATGCTTAGAACATCCATATGAATGTCAGCAATATTCAAACATGCTTCCAAAACACATGACCTTTTGCCACTAACCAACGTAAGTGTCATTAAAGATTAAGAAACAAAAACCAACACAAACAGAGTATTCTTCTTGAATTAAAGGCAGAACGCTGCATGCTCTGCGGCTAATAGCCAAGCCCCAAGAATATTCTTGGTAATAAAAGTTTTCCAACCATTCTCTTTCAGGCTTCCAATATCCTGTTTAACACCCTCTATTTCAAAGAACGACCAGCATTTACTACCTCCTTCCTTTCACAAAGAGCCAAAAAACATATGTTTTATCTAAAGCCCAATATTTCCGTCTAATTGCAAACTCAACAAAAGTGCCATAAGCACTATTCAACACATTCAGGGATTTTTAGTTAACTCAGAAAGATCAAACCGTTTTCATGCCAACCTCTTTAGATATTTCCTATTTAAGGAAGAAAGGGTCACAAAGAGGTTTTTAATGACCTGATGAGCCTTCTAGAACAGCCAATATTTATAGAAATATTTCACAAAGTCCTAACAAAGCAGTCCATTTTCAAACGCTCTTAGAGTATGACTGCCAAACTGATTGTATTCCAAACTGATTGTATTCTATATCTTAGGTAAACAGAATAATGAACCTCCTATCTGAAATACAAAGCTAGCAGCATGCCTCTCTGAAGAATAAAACAAATTAGTTATTTTTAAACTGAGGAATATTAACAACTCTTCAGATCCCTGGAGGGAAAAGCACTATAAGAAAGTGCTTATATAGTGTTTTATAAGAAAATAAAACTTTTTCCTTTTTCATGTTTACTTCCCTTTATACATGTTTACGAATATTTTATTAACTACCCATCTGTAATATAATTACTGAACTTATGATTACCATTTCTGTCAATTAATTTTTTATAAGTAAAAAAGATGTATTACTAAGAACAGAATGCTTTTAGGGTATTTTTAGCTTAATTATCCAAAGTGTCCACTTCTTTTCCTAAAGCTATGGTTACCAAAGTAAATCCAAATGTCACTTGGTAAAATAGAATCATTTTAAGAATAACACCCACCTGGCGATGCAGACATCCACCCATTTAATCACTCAGCAGCACCAGCACAGAGAGCACAGGTGCCCCGAGAGCCATTCAATGCCACCTAACAGATCCCTTAGCAATTAAAAGAAAATTCTGAAAATGAGGAAATAATTTATTTTAAAATAATTTTTATAGAAATTTTTGAGGAAAATATTTACTGAATAGGACATAATAAATACCATGAAAAGCTTCTAGTGAAATAGGGGAGCGAAGACAATGTTCAGGATAACTATAATAAAAGGATAAATAATAAATGCCACAAGAGGTGAAAATTTAACAGAACACTCAACAAAAAGTGTATTAAATCATATTTGAGGGCTATCTTGGAATATAAATTGAGGGATATCCAATGTTTATGAAACAAGAAAATAAGTAACTGACAGCATCTTTTAGACATTCCACTGTGTCTTTAGCTTAAATGCTAGGTTTATTTCATACCAATATTAGAGGTCGTGAAAGCTAAATGTGCTCAAATTTTAAGTGATAATAGTCTAAGAAAGAGAGCTCTTCAATGTTAAGATTTATCAATAACAGTAATACCAAGGATGTATAAACTAATACAACTAAACAGGGAAATGCTGTACGACTAAGAGGTATAGAAATAAGTGGACGATATTAAGGAGGATTTGTTCAGTGCTTAGGTCTGAGTCCACTAAGCAAAAAGTAAATATGACTGGTCATGGCTCCAAGATAACGAGAGAACAAGTTATTAATTTATCAATCATTTGCCTTCTGCAGATGATGTGAAGGTCTATCTAAGTTAGCTGGAAAACATAACTGCATTGCCTACTGAAGGTCATCAAGAATTTAATGGCATGCAAATATAGAAAAACAGGTTCACACAACAGTGAGGACAACTTGCTGAGGGATCAAAGTATAGATGTAGCATAAAGATATTGGAAATGCCTTGATTTCTTATAATGCAAAGTTGTTACATTGTAACAAACATGCTAAAGAAAAATCTACTTAGGATACAGGTAGAAAATATCACATGCAGAAACATTACAAACCTATCTGTAAGCAAAAAGACTAAGAAATTACTACTTGAGAGGCATTCTTGTCATCGTCATTACATAAAATGAACAGAATAATTACACATTAGAATCACTATGTTGCATTTCATAAATGGTACAGATAACACAATATACTTAATTCCAAATTACAAAACTACAGGTTTCAAATATCATGGATTGACTGTAGGTGAAAAGACAAAATTTATATCCCTGACACCTGAAAAGGAAAACCATAGCACAACAGTAAATCTACAAAGGATCCAACAGCAAATTCAGATGTGATAACAAATACAGCTTCATGGGCTCTCCAGAATCAACCCAGCCAAGTTAGAGGACTACAGTATCTAATAAAAGTAACATTGTAAAATACAGACTATTAGAGCCGTAACAGAGTATCAACAAATCATTCCCTGAAACCACAATGACCTTAGCTGTGTGCAACTTATTATAAGTATCCACATAAATTAAAATATTTGTAAGCCCCATACAGAAAGTTTTTACACATGCAAAGCCCTCGTGGAAAAAAAAAAAAGTGGTGCAATAAATTTCATTTAACTACAGCCAAATTTCATCCTAACAGATTGGGGGTTTTAGGTGTAGCAGGTTATCTTACAGTTTGTCCTTTATTCAGTAACTGAATCTTCTACATACTTAACATAAAACCTGGAAACTCTGCTCTCTAAAGATTATTGAAATGTGTTTGAAGTACTATTGAGTCAACCAGCATCTTATTTATCTGTGAGTTACAAAAACGGAAAGAAAATACCAATTGGGGTATTTCATTAAAAAAAAAACTTACATTATGGACAACTTTAAATACTTTTGGGAAGTAGGCAAGATAAAGGTTAAGGAAGATAGCTGTTATACATACATAACAAGACAGAAATAGAACAATTCAGAAAACATTTAAACAGTTGATGACTATATTCGTTCATCTCCTAAATGCCTTCATCCACTCTTCCAGCAATCAACTTAAAAGCTCCTATCCCAGACCAAACTCTTCAGTCAGTTATCTGAAACTACAATACTTCATGCCATCCCTAATAACACTGTAGAGTTAGCTGAATGTCAACCATCCAATCCAACACAGATCCATGGCAAAAGGCACGCACTAGTGAGTGATGCTGAAGTTTCTGAGTAGATATGAAGAAAGCAGTTTACCACAAACTATTTTTATAGCTATGCAGAAAATCTGCATCCATTTATGACAAATTTACCAACCTGTGTCACAGTACAAAATCATCAGCCAATGACAAATCTACAAGGTCGAACCTCTCCAAAACCACTAAAAAACTGCTGAAAAAAGTGGAATTCACTGTTTACCTGCTTCCCATGCATCTATTTAAATTTCATAGAACCACAAAAGCTAATTTCCAAATACTTGGCAAATGTAGTATTTATCGACAGCATGCATGCCTCTGTCTCTCTCCTTCTCTCTCTCTCACACACGTACACACTACATGCTTACCAAGCTGCGAACTATCTGCTACAGAAAGTTTAGCAGCATACAACACAAAATCCATTACCTATTTCCCTCCTTCAAAACCAAATACCTAGACAACAAATACATTAACACTACTAAAGGGGGGGGGAAAAACACCACAATAAGATTTCACCCTCTCTCACATAAAAGTAAAAGGTATAAAAATTAGAGTTTCAAAAATATATCCATCAGATTCAAAGACAGTAGACATCCTGTGGTCATCACTTACCTTCTCTAAATCTGCATATACATTAAAATGTATATGGTATGGTACGCATGTCAAATGTCATGTTTAACATTCACTACAAATGTCTGTTCTCAAATGTTTAGAAGTAATAAATCTAAGTTAATGCAAACATAGTTGAAATTCCAATTAAAATCATGGCTATACTGAATTCCCATCTTAAAACAAACCTTCTCCATAGAAACTAGGCAATGACAACAATTCTTCAAATAAATGTAAAAATATTTATTGGTATAGATTTATTCTTTTTTTTTTTTTTTTTTTTGAGATGGAGTCTCGCTCTGTTTCCCAGACTGGAGTGCAGTGGTGCAATCTCGGCTCACTGCAACCTCCGCCTCCTGGGTTCAAGTGATTCTCCTGCCTCAGCCTCCTGCAGATTTATTCTTTTAGTTAATAAAGAAGACTTCCTTTAAATTAGGTTCTCTATAAAAGAAGGCAAATTAAGTAGATATGAACTATTTATGAGCATCAACATGATACCCCATATAATAGCCACTACTCTTATAAATAGAAACCCCAATCACCATATACTATTTATTGGTGGAAATAAACAGCTTTGTCAATTTTTTTTTTTTTTTTTTTGAGATGAAGTTTCGCTCTTGTTGCCCAGGCTGAAGTGCAATGGCGTGATCTCGGCTCACCACAACCTCTGCCTCCTGGGTTCAAGCGATTCTCCTGCCTCAGCATTCCGAGTAGCTGGGATTACAGGCAGGCACCACCACACCTGGCTAATTTTGTATTTTTAGTAGAGATAGGGTTTCTCCATGTTGGTCAGGCTGGTCTTGAACTCCCGACCTCAAGTGATCCGCCCACCTTGGCCTCCCAAAGAGCTGGGATTACAGGCGTGAGCCACCGCGTCTGGCCTCAAATTTCAAACTACCTTCTTTTGGGTGATTTCTCATTACATAAATAGAAAGTCCTAGAAGAAATTCAAATTACTATCAGGTATTTTATCTCATCATTTGTATCCTTTGCAAAGTGCAAATTTCTTTTAAGTTTTGACTCCTCTAAGGACACCTCTGTTCTGTATCGCTGCCAAAAAGCAACAGCCTAAAGAAAGCTCAACTGTACAACAGCAATAACCACCTGCACACAAAATCGACCAGCCGCATAAAACCTTCCAACTGATGTCTACACTCTGCAACAGAGATATATACACATGAAATAGACTTATCCAGGACTACAGAGCTCCTAAAAGGTAAACCTTGAAAAATTGACCACAAAATAAACCTGAAGTCTAGAAACTTCTCAATCATGTCATAATATAAAGTAGAACAAACAAAAACAACAGCTCTTTCTAAAAGTCTTTAACTCATTACATTTCCAAATCAGCACAATAATGTCTTACTGGTAAACTTGATGGTCTTTCTTGCTGTATTAAGTTCAAGTCTTCATGGTTAGGTTTTCCGGGGGCCAGAGGAGGTTGAGATCTAGTTCCATAGCCTTCCTGAGACATGTCCTAAAAAAAAACACAAACACAAAGCACTTCATAAATATCTCAATGAGTTATAAGCTTCTTCAGTAACTAAAATTAAACAAAAGCTTGGCTGGGCACAGTGGCTCATGCCTGTAATCCCAGCACTTCGGGAGATCAAGGCAGGCAGATCGCTTGAGCCCAGGAGTTCAAGACCAGCCTGGGCAATGTAGGGAGACTCCATCTCTACAAAAATAATAAAAAATTAGCCGAGTGTGGTGGTGCAGCTACTTGGGAGGCTGAGGTGGGAGGATAGCTTGAGCCTGGAGGTGGAGGCTGCAGTGAACTTTGACTGCACCGCTGCACTCCAGCCTGGGTGACAGAGCGAGACCCTGTGTCAAACAAAACAGAACAAAACAAAACAAAAGCTTATCACAACCAACAACTGTTACATTTTAGCAGGCATATAAATATGTTATGGCTATAATTTAATACATTATCAGAAGCAAAAATTTTAAAAAGCAGTGAATAACAGCAGAAATATAAACTATATATATATATATATATATATATATATATATATATATATATATATATAATTAACAACTAAATTTATTATGAGACCATACCAAGTACTGTATTTGAGTTTTGCAGGAAGAAGACTAGTTCATAAAAACAGGGAGGGAGGTCAGCTGTAGCCAAACCAAACTGTCTTTAAACCCAGAGTGAACCCAGAGCAAACCAAAAGCTCCCTGGATTGTTGAATTCCGATTTTGGTCAAACTGCCTTTAATATTACCTCAAAAAGTTGAAATAACTAACGAAAACCTTACTATCAACTATATCTTAACAGGTCCTCTCAATTACCCACATAACAGCGTAAATCGTTATTAAGCTCATAGGATCCTGAGGTTTCTATAAAACCAATAAACACGCATATATAGAACTCCATATGTTCATGGGGCATAGTTTTCAGAGAACCATCATAAAGAATAAAACAACAGTGGGGAACAAAACACACCCAAAAAACCTGAATAGGCACAATAAACTTATAATTAACACGGCCTTTCTGGCATCTTGTCAAACACTCTTCCAAGAGGTATTCTGCATGGTTTCAGCATTGTGCTGAAATAATTAGCATATATAACCCAAATACCACACCACACCACATTTACTGTATACCAGATCTCTAGCTACCTGTGTATGCTCAGCTACTAAACATTCTACCATCGTTTCCCCCTGAAGTCAAACAGCAGGACAGAATTGTTAAATACTTATTATAGCATGTCTCAATTGGCACTGAAAGTTGAAGAACCAGTTTCTAATTGAAGAGAAAAAAAGAATGGAAAATATTGCTTTAAAATAAAATTATCTCCCTTCCCTTGTCAGTTCAAATATGTGTTGGTATTAAAGAAACATCATATACAAGTTCTACTTCTGTTAAGTCCCTGGAATATTGCTTTAAAAATTAATGTTTATTACTTGAAATCCTATAAAAAGCTTCTGCTGTCCCACCCCTTTCTTGCACACTTAAAATTACATGGCTTCTTAAGCCAGGAAACTTTGGAGCAATAGCTGGTACCACCAAGTACACAAGCTGTACAAACTGGATTTAACCAGCCTAGTGTTGGTGCGACCTGCTTTTCAACACGCTCTGAAATACAGGAGCGTGCCAATAATTCCAGCTTTTCACATGTAGCCCTTCTTCCCTTTAAATACATCTCCACCAAAAAAACAAACAAACAAAAAACAAACAAAAAAAGCCTCAGATATTTAACCTCTACTAGTAATGTACCCAGTTCATATCATATTTTTCTAAGAGAATTCAATGCTATTTGTCTAGGTTTTTATTTGATAACAATAAGGTGAGAGTAAGCACAGGCAATCCAAGGACACTTACAGAGTGGCTCTGCAATCTGGTTGCCAGCAGAGGGTGACAATTAAGCTTGTGGGGCACAAAAGCAAAGGCTGAAAGATTATGACCACTCTCCCCACCACCTTCCCCCTCAAACACCACGTTTCTTCCAGATTCTAGATTTCCACTTGTCACACAGACTTCCCGCTGGGTGCCCTGCAGGTTCCTTTCCATAAACAGCATGGATTTCAAATCAAGCAGGGCACAAGGCCTCTATTCAGGGGCCTTCACCCTGTTACAAAAAAGCACAAAGGTGCAGGACAGCCTCACAATGGGCAAACAAATGAGCAGGCCCCGCCTCCTCCTCCAACACACGTGCACACAGTGTCTGCCCAATGCCTACTTTTTTTTTTTTAAAGTAAACTTCAGCTAGGAAATAGTAACAGGCTCAAAAGTCCTATGCATATTACCCTTTTATGTTTCTTTTTATTTTCTCTTCTTCGCTCAATGAACTGCTTTCTAAAGAGGCTGAAAAAGATCATTACAACTATAGTGGATAAACATTTCAATTTAGACATCGTCCCCCTAAAATAAGCAACACAGACTAACAGACTATGAAAGCTATCAGAAAAATGTATTGTGGCCTTATATTTCACTCTTTAAGGCTTTAAAAGTTCAAAATAATTAGATGCCACCAAAATCTCAAATACTATTCCTAACCACAAGAAGCTTTCAGCTATTAAGTACAGTTGGAAATAAAATCAAAACAAAATTTAGTGAGAACTATTGAAAAGGAAACGTGTTCTGCCTCAGCTTATGTTTGAACATAAGTATTAATTTAATAAGGGAGCACATAGAAAAGGTGCCAAGTTTAAACCTAGAACAATCAACAACTACATATAACTTACAGTGGGACTATAAAGTCTGTTTGGCTGTTTTAATAATGATATAAAAATATTCCATAAGAAACTTGAGCTTTTTCATCTTAAAAAGCTATATTTATTTTTTGGTACATACTTATTTTCATCTCAAGAAGAGCAAATACACAGTAAAAAGGCAATGACAGTATCAGAAAATAAAGAATATGTTCAGCATCATATTTTATAAACAAAGAAGCACAGCTTTACACTTTAAAACATTACTGCCATCTTTGGTTATTTGTAAGTTTAAGCAGCCAGTGAACACCAGTGTGTAAACCAATATACACATATAAATAATTACATTTATCTGCTGTATAGAATGCCATATTGTGGTAATACTGCAATGCACAAGAACCAGGCAATGGAAATGAGGTTTCCCCTTTCAGAATTCATCAGTACTGTTTTTCTACATCTCACTCACAATCTTTTAACCATTGATGGACTCTGGCCTTAACCTTCTTTATGTTACGAGTCAAAGGTTAAAGGGAAACTGACTCACAAACAAAGGTGTGAAAAAAGTTTAGCGTAGTAGTAATTACACATTTGTTTCAGAAATTTTCAGTTTGGTATTTCTTCACCCCGCCCCCCCCCTTTTTTTTTTTTTTAAGAAACAAGGTCTCGATCTGTGGCTCAGCCTAATCATAGCTCACTGTAGCCTCTAACTCCCAGGCTCAAGCAATTCTCCTGCCTCAGCCCACCCATGCCTCCCTAGTAGCTAGGACTACAGGCACATACCACTATGCCTGGCTGATTTTTTTTTTTTTTTTTTTTTTTTAAGACGGAATCTTGCTCTCGTTGCCCAGGCTGGAGTGCATCGCGCAATCTCAGCTCACCGCAATCTCCACCTCCCGGGTTGAAGCGATTCTCCTGCCTCAGCCTCCCGAGTAGCTGGGATTACAGGCATGCGCCACCATGCCTTGCTAATTTTGTATCTTTAGGAGAGATGGGGTTTCTCCATGTTGGTCAGGCTGGTCTCAAACTCCCAACCTCAAGTGATCAGCCTGCCTCGGCCTCTCAAAGTGATGGGATTACAGGCGTGAGCCACCGTGCCCGGCCTAATTTATTTATTTTTTTAATATTTTGAGAGATGGGGTATCACTATACTTCCCAGGCTGGTCTCCAGCTACTGGCCTCAAGTGATTCTCCTGCCAAAGTGCTGAAAATCAGGAATGAGCCACTGTGCCCAGGCCTCTTGTAACAAATGTCGTAGACGCTGACTGAATGCCTACTATGGGCTTATTCCCTTTGCGAGGTACTTGAACATATCACAGTATGAAATGAAACATGACCAGGAGGAAAACACTAGTATCCCACTTCTACTACAGGAAAGGGTAAAGATAACTATTACAAGGGCCTAGTAGAAAGGCCAGGAGCAGGAGTGCTTCTGTTTTCTTTCATTAGGAAATGAATAAAATCCAAATAGCAATATGTAACTTTGAATAAAATGCAGAATAACCAAAACGTCAAAGACACTTTTTAAAAAATTAAAAAGGGAAAACATTCCCATGGTATAAGCTTTGAATTTTTTTTTTTTTTTTTTTTTTTTGAGACTGAGTCTCGCTCTGTAGTCCAGGCTGTAGTGCAGTGGGCGCAATCTCGGCTCCCTGCAAGCACTGCCTCCCGGTTTCAAGAGATTCTCCTGCCTCAGCCTCCCGAGTAGCTGGGACTACAGGCATGTGCCACCACACCTGGCTAATTTTTTGTATTTTTAGTAGAGATGGGGTTTCACTGTGTTGGCCAGAATGGTCTCTATCTCCTGACCTTGTGAACTGCCCGCCTTGGCCTCCCAAAGTGCTGGGATTACAGGCATAAGCCACTCTGCCTGGCCTAGCTTTGGATTTTTTTATTTACCTTTCTGCAATTTTTCAATGTGTTACCAAGTTTAAATGTGAATTTAAATCCTTTTTCCTTTATATACAACTAGAGCATATTTTCTGTAAACAGCACGTTGTTCAGCCTCTTAATATATTGTAGAGCTCATTCTATATCTGCAACTAAATATCTACTTTATTCTTTTTTTTTATGGCCACACAACATTGCATTATTTGTAGGTGGAGTAACGTATTTAACCAGTCACTTATTGATGTACATTTAGGTTGTTTCCAGTCTTCCGTTCTTCATACAGCACTATAGTAAGCATCCTTACGCATATATCTTCACATGAAAATCTCTGTAGCATCAATCTTTACAAGTGAAATTTCTGTCAAAGGGTTGTATATGTCCATTGTCACACTGCTATAAAGAAATACCTAAGACTGCATAATTTATAAAGAAAACAGGTGTAATTGGCTCACAGTTCTGCAGGCCGTACAGGAAGCATGGCAGCTTCTGCTTCTGAGGAGGCCTCAGGAAGCTTCCAATCATGGTGGAAGGCAAAAGGGGAGTGAGGTGGCTCACACAGTGGGAGCAGCAAGGGAGAGAGCAGGGAGGTGCTACACACTTTTAAACAACCAGGTCTCATGAGAACTCACTCACTATCACGAGAACAGCACCAAGAGGATGGTCTGAAACCTTATTCAAGAGAAACCGCCCCCATGATCCAATCCTCTCCCACCTGGCCCCACCTCCAACATTAAGGATTACAATTAGACATGAGATTTGGGTGGAGACACAGATCCAAACTGTATCAGATTGCTACATTTGAAATGTTAATATATACTGGCAAATTGTTCTTAACAAAGGAAGTATCAATTTACACTTACAGTCCATCATTCTGGAATAGAACAAAACTTACTCCAGGTGTCAAACTACATCATAAAAAGTAGCAAAACCAGAGCAGGGGATGAGTGGGAAGATAGGTAGACAGTAACCAAAAAAAAAAAGAATTTAAGAGCATACAGACTATAAACTAACAGATGATGGAGGAATGGAGGAGGGAAAGGAGCACCTTGGTCCTTGACAAACAAATGGCAATGGCACCTAGTAAGAGGTCAGTGAGGAGGCCTCTAGATGCCAGCAAAATCCAACAAAGAGCGTCAGGTCAGAAACAAAATGCAACAGAGCCTCCATGGTGTCTGGATCTGGAATAAGTGATAACTGTCATGTTATTTAAGAAAAGTTTTTCCAATCCTCACATCAAGTATAGATATGCTAGGAAGAGAGTTAAGATGGCCACATTGTTATTATCTTGCAATAATTCAGAATGAGGGAATGAATGACGATTTGAGTAGTCTCAATAATTTCTTGATCCTTTTCTCTTTGTGCTTTGGAAATTCCCTATCACCAATTCCAAATCGTAAAAGGGAAACAGAAGCCTATCCCCAACATGTGAGGGTGGGGGAGAGGTGGCTGCGACCACTTCCACAGAGAGGATGCCTGGTGGCCACACAGCCTGCCACAGTTCGTGAAATCATCCCTAGGCTTCAGACATTTGGCATATTATTGACCTCCCTCCACTTTCTGTGTGTAGATGAATTTCAAATATCATTTCCAAAAGGAAAGCGATATAAATCCATACAACATGCACATCAAGGATGGCATGCTCAGCCCTTGCCACCTCAGGAAAGCCCCACTGACAGCTCATATTCGCAAGAGGGGACTTGTGACAGGTACTGTGCACAGAGGTAGTGTGCACGGTTCATCCTAACGACACCACCACAAGATAGTTGCTATTGTTACCTCGTTTTTTCCTACCAGGAAACAAAAACTGAAGTCATTTGCAGAGCTAGCTTATGAGCACTAGGCTGGAGTAACTGAAAGTGATGGATATCTCTTCATTTCTATAATAACTGTACACTAGAGACAACTGGAAGCTTCAAACACTATCACATAATAAGGGATTGAATATAATTTTAGCTTTTTAAGGTTTTATCCTGGGCTTCATATATTCCCCTAAATTCTCTTTTGAAAAATTATAATCTTAAGTAGTTTATACGTGGAACACTTCTAAAACATCAATTCCAGTAACATGAATAAGTAAGAAATGCGAAAATGAAAAATTCTCTTCCACAGGTGTGAAGGCAAAGCCACACTCCTTATCATCAAGCATTACCAGAAGCCTACAGGCTGGCTGGCAAGCCAGGTGAAGGGGCCCGCCTGCCAGATTATGTTCTTTAAGGATCCTCTACCGGCTCTTCTCTTTCTCCCTGTCCTTTAAGAATGGGGGCCCCTCAAGTGTCTGTACCCCAAGGACTCCATGTGGCCCCCTGCTTGGTGGTGATTCCCAAATCTCTACAGGAGGTCCTTAACTGCATCCTTAATGTTTGGACCTCTGGAGAGAGTGCCTTGCACTCATCGGGTCAAGAAATGACTCTCCCAAATGACCCCACAGACCTGTTCCTTCTCCCTTGGGCCCCCACCTCACCGAAGGAGAGCACCCAAATGAGATTGCTCAGAGCCACCCCACACAACTCATTATCTCTTCTACAATCTGTGCACGTCTGACACATCACCAAAGCCCAAATCATCACCCAGTCCATCCCCTTCCTCCTGATCCGATGGCAGACACCTGCACTGCGGTCAATGCTGCTGACTTCCTCAAATACAAGTGCTCAGAAAATGCCTCCCGAAGGCCTACAGAAGGAAGTTTAAGTCCCAGTCTGGGCTCAGAAGAGCTCTTCAGGCACCCTCCGGCCACCAGGTCAGCTTCTACAGGGCCGGCCCCAGGGTGTGGGGCAAAACCGTACTTCACCTGTTCAGCTGCTCGGGTCCCATGGGCCATGCGGCCACTGCTCCTCGGTGCCTTTCAGCCAGTCCAAGTGGATGCCCTTCCTCCTCCTTACTGTCCTCAAGATCCTGCTAGAAGTTAACCCTATCACCCTCCAAAACAACTACCTCAAACCAACCTCAAATGGGCTCCTCTTAAAGAACTTAGAATGCCATATATTAACTATTTGTGGTGTATCCCAAACTGGACACCATTTTTCTAAGACGGGGATGCTATCGTCTTGGATTCCCAAGGGCCCAGCAAGGATGGGTACTGGATAAAAGCCAGGTGAATGACTGAATGGTTTCTAGGAGCTTATACTTAGAATTAGACACAGCAACACAAAAACAAATGTATAAGGACAAACACATAAAACTGAACAAAACTTGGGCACACATCCAAGAATATTTATCATGTTAGCAGCTACTCTGCCTGGTAAATGTGCTACAGAACACATTTTGCTGTTTGTTACTGGCAGTCTTATGGCAAAAGGATGACTGCAAAATAATGCAGTAAAAATATACTGGAAATTAAGACTGCAGAGAGCATCAATAATGCCACCAGAAGCGGGGGTGGGGTGGGGATCAAGACATTTGATGCTTACCAAAAAACAGATCAGGAATAAAATATCCCACCTCCCAAAAAATGATGAGTTTGACAAAACCTGCAGATCAAACCACTAATTTATAGGAAATAAAAAGGTCCAAGCAACATGTTAAACCATTGCAAATCAATCAGGAAATCCCAGGCTGTGGGAATCTCTACTAGACAAATGTCCCAGTTTCAATAAATAAATGGCAACAGAAAAAAATGAAAAGTGAGAGGACGAGAAGGAGAGGAGATGGAGGAAAATCCTAGAAATGAAGAGTAATTAAAAGATAACAACAAATTGTTAACACTTTATTTGGATCCTGATTCAAACTACCCCACAATGTAAATTAAACAATAATATATATTCCATTTATGAGATTATTGGAAATTTGAATACTGGATAATTGATAGGAATAAATTATATTTTAATAGTGATAACTGTATTATGTCTCTTTTTTAAAGTTCTTTATCTTTTAAAGGCACATACTGAAATATTTACCAATGAAATGATACAACATCTGGGCCAGGCATGATGGCTCACACCTGTAATCTCAGTGCTTTGAGAGGCCAAGGCAGGCGGATCACGGCGTCAGGAGTTCGAGCCCAGCCTGGCCAACATGGTGAAACCCTGTCTCTACTAAAAATACAAAAAATTAGCCAGGCATGGTGGCAGTGCCTGTAATCCCAGCTACTCGGGAAGCTGAGGCAGGAGAATCACTTGAACCTGGGAGGCGAAGTTGCAGTGAGCCGAGACCTCACCACTGCACCCGAGCCTGGGCAACAGAGAGAGACTCCTTCTCAAAATAGTAACATCTGGAATTTACTTCAAAATAATAAAAGGGACAGGGGATACGGGGATGAGAAGGGGGAGACAGAGGTGAAACAAGATGAAGGTGGAGTGACGTGTGCCAGATTAATTACACCATTATCTACTTCTGTTTACATTTGGAAATTTCCTTTTAAAGGAAACTGAATGAAGTTAATGGTATGAAAGGCAACTTCATGAACCTAGAGTGGGGCTGAGACTGACTCTGGCTTTCATCTGAAAAACTATGCCTCCAACCTCCTCCCCTGTGAACATACATTAAGCATTAACCATAGAACTTTCAATCTTTCTGTTTCATAATGCCCCCACCTATTTTTAACATGTTTGCTGCACTATTAAATCCTAATGCTTAGCTATCCTAAACAAAACAAAACAAAACCCCTCCATGATCTTAACCAAATTAACCTTAACAATTTCATTTTTCCCCTAGGTTCCCAAAGTAAAACCTGCTCTTCTTGTTGACTCAGTGATCCTTGTTCAATCTTTTGATCTCAGCTGAAGGTGCCCTCCCAGCCTAAATCTCACACTCTGACTTTATCTTAACCCCACCTCTTAAAGGCCTGGTGTCCTATTTCACCAGCTCCAAGAAGCCTTATGCAGCCACAGATCTCTTCTAAGGACCTTGAATCTTTGAGTTCAGACAAACCCAAATTCAAATGCCAACTTCACTATTCATCAGCTGTATGACTCCAAACAGCTTAGTTTCCTATTCCACCAGCCATACTGGGTGGCAATGGCCTATGCAGACTACGAGTGCATCACATGTGCCTTCACTCCTCCTGCTTGTCTATCTCAGGCTCATGGTGCTCAAAGAACAGGGGTGGAATGGGTCTCTTGCATGTGCCATGATGAGTACTGTTCATTATCTGTTCAGAAGACTACTAAATCCCTTCAATTTTTCCCAGTCCACATCGATAGTTTCCCTTCCCCTCTGCTCCAAAAATCTTTTAGTTTAGATAAAAATCACATGTCTAAACTGCAAATGCTTTTTAACTGCAACTAATCCCAGAGGCCAATTAGAAGCTTAAAGCCATATTCCTTCTAATAAACTATATATATTATTAATGAGTCCAAAGAATATTCAGGATATTATTTATTTTCTATCAATTCAAAGGAATAATTATTTCCAGACTTTTTTAAAACCTTTTTATAATTTTCTTTTTTTTAGAGAAAGGGTCTCACTGTGGTGCCCAAGCTGGACTGCAGTGGCACAATCATAGCTCACTGTGACTCAAACTCCTGGGCTCAGTGGATCCTTTCTCCTAAGCCTCCTGAGTAGCTGGGACTACAGGTGTGTGGCACCATACCCAACAAAAAACCATTCTAGAAAAAGGACAGGCTTGTATAAGCTACTTCATGATGCTTTCTTACTGATAAGTCTCAGTCTTACTGACAAAGGACTCAACACTGCAAAACGCCTGCAATTCACAGAATGTCACCATGGCACAGGACACCCATGTAAACAAGGACCTGCAGTCCCTGGCTTCAGTATAGAGGAACCCTGAGGGGATATGGAAGAAAAGAACAGAGCAATACCAAGAGCAGCCATCTCCCCTAAGCTTAAGAAGCAAGAATCCTAGAGGCTGCTAATTTATATTCAAAACTTAAGACAAGCTTTTAAATTTGCCTTCTTTCGTAGGAAAGAAGTTTTCATAAGACTTCTTCCTAAACTAACAGTGGGCTCAGAATGAGAAAGGAAGCCACATGGTTGCCTAAAATTAATTTTCCTAAAATAATCAACATAATGATAGGCAAGACTAAAGACTAGTTAAGATTTTTAATAATGAATGTATTTTAATAAAGTCATAAAGGCAAATGAGCCACAGTAAATGTTCTGCTCTCTATACTTTTTGTAGGGAAAAAGTAATGTATCTAATAATTTTTAAAAATCTATACAACATCCAAGAATCTCAGCTCCCTATAACTTATTACCTAAATAATTCCTTTCCTCATCCATAAAACCAAGATACAGTAGCTCCCCACCACCCTTACCCACGGTTTCGCTGTCCATGATTTCAGTTACCCATGGTCAACTGTGGTTCAAAAATATTAAAGGGAAAAAATTCCAGAAATAAACAATTCACAATTTTAAATTGCCCGCCTGGATGTGACTCCTCCCTTTGTGAGGCAATCCACGTTGCAGGCGCTTCCCATCCACTGGTCACTTAGGAGCTGTTACCAGATCCAGTATCAGTGCTTGTGTTCAAATCACGCTAATTTTACTTCATAATGGCCCCAAGGCACCAGAATAGTGATGCTGGCAATCAGTCAGCCAAAGAGAAGCTGTAAACTACTTCCTTTAAGTGAAAAGTTCTTGACTTAATAAGCAAAGAAAAAAATAGCACATCCTGAGGTTGCTAAGATCTAGGGAAAGAATGAATCTTTTATCCTTGAAACTGTAAAGGAAAAAGAAATTTGTGCATAGTATGCACAGAGTTCAGTACTATCCACACTTTCAGGCATCCACTGGGGGTCTTGGAACTTATCCCATCCCCTGGCTGACAAGGGGGATGACTGTATAAGGGACCTGCTACTAAGATACAGGAACCTACCTTCTAAGGTTGTATTCATGATCATGACACACTGCCTTCAAGCAATTAGCACTGTGCCTGGTGCCATTTAAATGTTCACAGATGTCAGCTATTGTTATTTTTAAAAGCATATTTAAGAATGAGAATCAGTCTGGGCACCATAGATTATGCCTGTAATCCCAGCACTTTGGGAGGCTGAGGCAGGAAGATCGCCTGAGATCAGTTTAAGACCAGCCTGGCCAACGCGGTGAAACCTGTCTCTACAAAAATTAGCTGGGCATGGTGGCGCACACCTGTAACCCCAGCTACTTGGGAGGCTGAGGCATGAGAATCACTTGAACCTGGGAGAAGGCAGAGGATGCAGTGAGCCGAGATTGTACCACTGCACTCCAGCCTGGGCAACAGGGCAAGACTCTGTCTTTAAAAAAAAAAAAAAAAAGAGAATCAACTAATAGAACTTTATCCAGTGGCCATGATGCTGAGGACAGTGTTGGTAGTAACAGCAGCTGCTAATAATTCTACATCACACCATCTATCAGGTACTCTCCTAAGTGCTTTACTCATACAATAAACTCTTGATTTCCACACTGACCCCATAAAGTAAGTACTATTTTACTTATGAAGAAAATTAGGTTGAGTAACCTGCCAAGGTCACTCAGTTGGCAAGTGGTGGAGAAGGGATGGGAACCAAGATATTCTTTCTCTAGAGTGTGTGCACTTAACGATGCTCCCACCCACCAGATAAGGAGGCACTTCTGGACCCTACCTGACAGCTGACAATTCCCAACCGGAGGATGGGGTCCAGGAATCTGAATTTCCCAGATTTGTCTATAAATTTCGAGGACTGTTGATTAAATACAGTGTTATATTTTCATTAAATTATGATAATTAAGTGAGTCCTACAATGTGGGGTTTTGGATATTACTCCATTACCTAGCATCTGTAATAGGGCATTTTGCTGTAACATTAACAATGGCTAATTTCCCAGGTAGATACCTGTCCACCCACCCTTCACCTATCCTCCTTGGGCCAGGGATGGTCTTATTTGTCTTACTGTGGTTAAAGCAACAACTTGAGAAGATCATCATCAGCTTTTCAATGACATGGCCCTGCACTGGCATCTCACACTTGGAAGGCTGATTCTTGCTCCAAGAACCCAAGCCCCTTCTTCTCCCAACCAAGAAGCAGACTACTTCCGGCACACGAGCCACAGACCTGGAGGGCCACAGGAGGCCTTCAGAAACTAGCAACATCAGTTCTTCCTACCCCACACTGGGACCATAACTCATATCTAGGGCCTGAATTCTTGACCTGGAGTAGAAGGTCTTTGAACACTCCCCTGAGAATACAGCAACTCTGTGATGCATGTATTTGTCTGGGAGGAGAATCTGTAGCTTTTACCAGATTCTCAAAGACTCCAGAAAGATTAAAGGGTAAGAACAGAGATAATCAACAATGGGATTTACCAAAACTGAAAACATCATAATTTCATAGAGATGTTTTGAACCAGATTAGCTGCAAATAACCACATTCAACATTGTAATACTTTTCTAAATAACTGAAACACAAATAAAAATTACTTAAGAATTTGCAAATATGCCATTAGTATCTGAATTAAACATGCAATAAAAGCCCAGACTGCTTAAGTAACTCTAGTCTAAAGAGCTACCTAGGCCAGGCATGGTGACTCACCCTGTAATCCCAACACCTTGGGAGGCCGAGGCGGGCGGATCACTTAAGGTCAGGAGTTCGAGACCAGCCTGTTCAACATGGTGAAACCCCATCTCTACTAAAAATACAAAAAATAGCTGGGCACGGTGGCATGCACCTGTAACCCCAGCTACTTGGGAGGCTGAGACAGGAGAACTGCTTGAACCTGGGAGGCAAAGGTTGCAGTGAGCTGAGATTGCACCACTGCACTCCAGCCTGGACGACACAGCAAGACTCCATCTCCAAAAAAAAAAAAAAAAGGGCAACCTATACAGGACCCCTTACGTTATTATCCACACTCTTCACTTAGATGAATACCATGGGGGGTTGCAAGTGGCATGACAGTGACCTGCTGAGACAGAGCTCCTGAACCCGCGTGCTGGATAAAGAGGTACAGACCTTCTTTTTGCCAAAGAGAGTGAAGTAAAGTGCCAGAAAGATCCTGCCTCAAAAGCCTGTCTTGCCAATTCATCCCTAAAACTGCTGAGGGGGTTAATCTCAAAAGTTGTCTGATTTCTCTGTGAAATGCCTATGGAATGAAAGCTAAAATAACTGAAGGAAAGAAAAAGAAAAAAAAAGCTAGAGAAACAGAAGAAACAGCCAAAGACAATAAAAGATAAAGAAGATTCTGTTGTTTTGCATTGTATCAATAATGCTTTCAAAATGCAAGAAGCACAAGGATTCTGCTGAATTTTTTTTACAAATATGTATTACTTTTTGAACTTTTTACAAGATGTTAAAATGGATCATTTGATCTACTAAATTATCTCTTCCCCACTCTAAGAGTACAGACTTTCAGAAAAACAATATACTAAAAAGAACTTAGCATCCAATTAGTATCAACTTTACCAATCTTCTACGAAAGTAGACAGGCCACAGGCATCCCCCTTCTCCAAGAAATAGCAGAAAATGTGAATTTTTTAGAGATTCCCTTACATTTTGTGTGTGTGTGTGTGTGTGTGTGTGTGTGTGTGTGTGTGTGTGTGTGTGTGTGTTTTCCCATCAAGTGCTATTACTGTAGAAGACTTTTTACCTTTTAAACAGTCAAATTTCCATTTGGGAAAAAACATAAAGATGACTCCAGAAATCTGAAATTATCATCAATTACATCAAAATTAAATTAAAATAAAATTTATTTATTTACCCACTTTATTTATTTCTTTAGTCACTTTATGTTAAACACCTCCAACTTTCCAAGGAGGGCAAGCTATATATTCATCCCACTTTATGTTAAAATGAACACCTCCAACTTTCCAAGCAAGGTGACTAATATATTCATCCTGAAGTTAATCCCCCACTGCTCTTCCATAAGGAAAGCAGACATGAGAACTACTGCTTTCAAGCAAGGAAGATACACCAAATATTTGGCAACTGGTAAAACAGTGGGGTCCAGGGTCCTGGAGTCCCCCTGCTAATTAATTAATTAATTACTGCCTGTAATCCCTCAGCTACTCAGGAGGCTGAGGCAGGAGAATCACTTGAACCTGGGAGGCGGAGGTTGTGGTGAGCTGAGATTGCACCACTGCCCTCCAGCCTGGGCAACGAGAGTGAAACTCTGTCAAAAAAAAAAAAGAAAAGAAAAGAACAAGAAAAAGAGAAAGAAAAGAAAACCACAGCTGTATACATACCAAAGGGCCTTCCCTGCCCGACTTCCTGACACCATCTTCTTCTGTCTCCCTAGGCTAATGCAAAGAGACATAAACCCATTCCTCTCCCAAAAGCCTAGCACTTTGGGGAAAATCAATCAGTGACCTAAGCTGGTTCTGTTCTTTCTTTTGCAGAAAAAAAGAAAAAGGTGACCACTGCCCACATTAGCAAATGCTAAAAATAATGCTACATTTCAAACATCTGAAGATAATCTTCCTCTGGAATACAATATACATAGAGCTTGTTACTCTAATTAAAAATTTTAAAAATCAAAGAAACTGATGAAGAAAGAACTTTATGTATAAATTATGTTTTATTTCATTTTTCATAGTTTAACATATTGAAATGAGCATGTTAAAGACAAATGAAAGCAGCTGAGAGTAGCAAAAAAACAATCCAGGAAAAAAATAATTCCCCAATTTCCCTTGTGTCAGAATATAAATATCAAGGAAAGAGAATTAGTGAATATATAATGAGCCTCGATGATACTTTTAACTGCACACTGCATTCTCTTCCCAACTTCATCCCTCAATACCAATGGGGGCAGGAGCAGGGTATCAGAGAGGAAGACAGATGGGCTGTCAGGCCCAGGGAGCTGAAGGGGAGGGAGGTGAAGGGGTGCAATGAGGAGGCTTGCTCGGAGAGCGCCAGTTCTACCCAACTTTCTGGTTTAGAAGAGCAGGCTTCTTCTTCCACTGGCTGCTGAGTCTGGGGAACTAGGACTAAAAACTAGAGAACAAGGCAATGTCCACTCATGCGTGAAGACATCTGGTTCAATTCCATAAATCCTCCTCTGGCGGGAGAGAGGGATCACCCACCTACAGTTAGTTATAGCAGTGTTAGGATCAGAGAAGGAGGTGAAGCTTAATTGCTCTTTAGACTAAACCCTCCTCTTAAGGTGTTTGAAGTTTTTCTTTAGCCTTTGATGAAATATATCATTCATTCATTCATTTAAAGAGCCAAGGTCTCACTCTGTGACCCAGGCTGGAGTGCAGTGGTGCGATCAGAGCTCACTGCAGCCTTGAACTCCTGGGCTCAGGGATCCTCCTGCCTCAGCCTCCTGAGCAGCTGGAGCTACAGATGTCCGCTAACACGCCCAACTAAGAAATACATCTTCAACAATCTAAGGTTTTCCTCTCCTGCCTCCATGGTAGACAGTCATGCCCAGCTGATGTGATCTCCTCCACATTTCAGTTAAACTGGGCTAAGCAGCTGCCCAACAGTGTCTGAGATGCTTCAAACCAGGACACAGCTGGCCACACACTCCAGGCCTGCCTGGCTTCCTGGCTACTCTTCTCAGGAGGAGCCTTCCATCCCCTTTCTAAAATTAGTATTGAAAATATTATTACTATATAATTCCTCACTTCCTGGTTTTAATTCTGGTACTAGAAAGAAAAAAAAAACTTAAAATATATGTTAAATATGAAAATGAATACATAGCATTATCAAATTATGATCCAATGCAATTAAATTCCCAATTATACTTCAAAACATATTAAAAAAACACTGAAAGTTTTCCATTAAAAGCCAAAAATGCTTCGATACTAGAAGTGATGTGTATAAAATCTGAGGATTTTTCTCTTGCTTTCTTCTGCTACTATTAAGGAAAAGCAAAGGCCCAGGCAGACATAGTTGCAACTAACTACAGATTCACCCTGATTTCTACAGCAATTAAGAAAACCAAATTCATACCAAAAGACATTCTAACATTCTCAAAATGTTATTTTTCTTCATTCTTCAATGGGTCTTTTTTTCTACTTTTTTTATTTTAAGAAGCTTTCAGGAATAACGCCACCAAAACACACAATAAACTGAAACTGTTAACGCAGCAAATTACACCTATATTCAAAACGAGTGCTGAGCTTTTACTATACTAGTTTTTCCCCCAAGGGAGAAAAAGGGAACAGAGAGAGGAAGGTCACTAGTCCTCATTCCCATCCTCCTGGCATCAGTCATCCTGCCAGAGCGAGCGCAGGCAGGCTGGTGGCTCCTGCAGCCTATCTAACCCCACCTCTGTGCTCCCAAAACCGGCCCCAACACAAGGTTAGAAGCCCCAAGTCAACAATCAGAGTCTAGGAATAGGCCTTGCTCAGCCACTAAGTGACCCAGAAGTTGTCTCCTCGGATGCTTACAAGCTCTTCAAACTTAAAAGGAAATCTCCCTCAGCAATGGTTCAAAGCCTGAGACAACTGTAGCAAGAAGAAAGAAAAAGATTCAAAATTCAAACATAACCCAAGTCTTCACTAATAATATCCTTTAAAACAAAGAATAACATTAACTATATTCTGGTTTTTACTGAGTTAATAGACTGTGTTAATATCCAAAAACTAAGCAATTAATGGCAACAAACTATATATGTCCTTGTTTTTTTGCTCTTATAATAAAATCTTAAAATAAGTGAAATGAACACTTCAGTGGCTTTCCACAGGCCTTGTAAGGTTAATTTTCCCCCAAAATCTGCAGGATTGGCTTATAAATTAAATTTTGGTCTTATTTCTATATAAGAAACAGATTTGCATAATATAAATAACAACAATATAAGGAACTGTTTACCCCACAATGGATCACAGCCTCTGTCCCTAATGTGACTTCTGTGTTCCTTCAATGACTTGAGTGGCATGCTGTTACAAGCTTTAAATCAAAAATATATTTCACTATGTTTTTAGCTTTAAAAAAAGTATTTTTTCTAAGTTAAGCTCCTTTGAAAGATTTTGCTTACTATGTGGATTATGATGGATATTTTATGTTAAAAAATTGAAACCTATTTTACCCCCATGTTCCAGTACTATTTTGTTCTTTTCCAAATGATTGCCCATGTGCCAAGTACTTCCAGTTCACGGCATCTCTTTTAAAAATTGCTGACCAAAAAGATGTCTGAAGAAAGATATTTTAGAAAATATCATTTAAACACCCATCTACCTACTCTCATAAAAGTAGACTCAGATTTCCACTTGGTCCAACTACCAAGTGATCTACTGCTAGAAGTTAACTGCTAAACTAGTACTATTTTCTGTTTTAAATGATATTGAACAATAAATAACCTCATTTCATTTTTAATCACTGAGGCAAAGGCAATATAAATCACCAGTTCCCACCATAATTAATATGCTCCATCTAAATGACCTTGACTGTTAACTGACCTCATTGTCTACTTCAGTATCTCTCAGGAATGGGCATCCCCTCTATTTTCACTAACAAGGAACTGGCCCTATCCCAGGATCACTTCTTCTCTCACCAGCAAAGTCTTCCTCATTCTTCCAGACTTCCTCTGAGACACTTTTATCAACATCTTCTCCTAAGCCTCACAACACTAGAATCACAGCTTGAAACACACCCCTCCCACGGCACCGTCAACCCTCCTGTTCAACTAGGGGCTCCTTTAGGTCAGCAACAACGTCTGACTCAACACTAGATTCCCACATGCAAAACAGTCCCAAGCCCAAAGGGGCTCATAAAATGGTTTATGTTTTGCTTGTCCAACAGACCCTGAGGTAAATAAGTACACTTTCATAATACCCATTATTTCTCTTAAGAATCCGAAACAACTATATCAACTTGAAGAGAAACTATACGTATAAAAGCCAAGTTTGAAATTATGTTGCTGCTTTACACTAAGGTTTTTTAAAAAGATCCATACTCTCTAAAAAAAAAATGGTGACTTCTTAAATAGGGTTACTTGCTACAACTCTTCTCTAAGAAAAGAAAAAGGTTTTTCTGGCTATGAGGGCACAACAGTGTCCCTTAAAGCCATGAAAACAGACAGGGTTGTGCGAGGATGCCAACTGTTCCAGACCAGCAGAAGACCTCGGTCACAAGAAAGGGTACTGACAGACAGCCCCCTGTCTGCGGCCAGGCAACTCTCTTTGAGTTACCTGATTGTTGGAACACTGGCCTTGACACTTAACACACAACATCTGCCAGGAGACGATGGGTGAAGGTTCCTGGAGAAATGTGTGCCTTAACAGGAAAGGAGGTCTCTTCCAGTATCTTAGGAGAGTAAGTCTGAAGCAGAACAGGAGTCAGAGGTAAAAGGAAAACGATTCTGAGTCTAAAGGTACTAGGAGGAGAGAGAAAGGTCATGAGAGCTTGCTAAGAGGGGACCGGGAAGCAGACCTGCATGTGATGCATCGAGACCTGACAACGGGGAAACATAAGGCAAGCAGAAACGTTAGAGCAAAACAAAACAAAAACTAAACCACAGCATTGAAGGAGCTTTCCCCTTCTATATAAAAGTATTAAATCTCGGTTAATGAAGTCTGAGGAAGTAAGCTAGGATGTAAAAATACTTTAAAATGGAAGCAACTTCTTCAAATAGCTTTTTTTAAAGGCCATAAAAATAGATGCTTTTTAAAAGAAGGAAATGACGAGTGTTGGGTAAATAAGATGTCTGATGAACGCACAGTGTGAACCTCTGATGTCCTAGTTATCCTCTATCTACAACAGGAAGAATAAACCAGACCTACTCACTCCAGTTCTAATTCTGCCCCCTAAAAAGAGCAGCAGAGACAAGAAATGGTAATGGTAACAAAAATGTAAACAACAAGAAGTTGTGGAATTCATGGAGCCGCAGTGTCAGCAGTAAATCAAAAAAAATTACCAATGTCCAACTGTGTACTTCTTCCTGATACAATCGAATTTCCACGATCTGTTCCATCATTGTAACACATCACCTAGATCCATCCTAATTCCAAATTCTGTGAGGGCTCTTTAATTCTGTCGGTGCTCAGAAAACAGTTAAATCCTCACTAAAAATAAAACTTAAAATAAGAACCACTGGAAAATATATATTAAAATGTAGGAAAGTGAGCTGGGGGGGTGGGGCGCGTAATTTGTTAAAAAACCTTCTAGAGAGGAATTTGGTTAAAAAAGAGGTGGGGCTTTTTTTTTTTTGAGACGGAGTCTTGCTGTGTCCACCCAGACTGGAGTGCAGTGGTGCAATCTTGGCTCATTACAACCTCTGCCTCCCAGGTTCAAGTGATCCCCCTGCCTCAGCCTCCCAAGTAGCTGCAACTACAGGTATGCACCACCACATCTAGCTAATTTTTGTATTTTTAGTAGAGACAGGGTTTCACCATGTTGGCCAGGCTAGTCTTGAACGCCTGGCCTCAAGTGATCTGCCCGCCTGGGCCTCCCAAAGTGCTGGGATTTCAGGCATGAGCCACTGAGCCCGCCCAAAACCAAATCTTTAAAATGTGCTTTTTTTTTTTTTAATTTTTTTTGAGACAGAGTCTTGCTCTGTCACCGAGGCTGCAGTGCAGTGGCACGATCTCAGCTCACTGCGACCTCTGCCTCCTGGGTTCAAGCGATTCTCCTCCCTCAGCCTCCTGAGTAGCTGAGACTACAGGCATGCGCGACCACACCTGTCTAATTTTTTATATTTTTAGTAGAGACAGGGTTTCACCATGTTGGCCAGGCTGGTCTCGAACTTCTGACCTCAGGTGATCCACCCACCTCAGCTTCCCAAAGGGCTGGGATTACAGGCATGAGCCACTGCGCCTGGCCTAAAATGTGCCTGTTCTTTTGCCCAGCAATTCTATCAAAGAAGAAAGCCTGTTTGCTCACATACATGCATCTATACTGCACAAAGGAACCAGCTATAAAAGCATTCCACAAAGCACTATCTGCAATTCCAAAAGAAATCACAAAATTTAAATACCCAGCAGTAAACATTTACCTTCTTCAACACTGTAAAGTATGTTTTACTATGTTTCAGCAAATAAAAAAGATTTTTTGAATGATTAAATCAACAATTTTCACCATGTTTACTAAGTTTCTACTTTGTGCAGGCATTGACCTAGGTGCTGGGGACATAATGACAAAACAAAGTCCTTCCACTCATAAATCTTATTTTCTTAAGGTGAAACCACACACATTATTTGGAAAAAAAGAAAAAAAAAGTGGGCTTGATAGAGAAGAGCCAAAGATTTCAAAGGGTCAGAAAGGATGGATTGACATACATATTGTTGGGATGGGGGAAAATATAGACAGGGCAGGTTTGTGGATAAAGGGCTGGGTGGCCAGAGGCCCGCTTTGGATATGTTGATTTTCCAAAGCCTGTTGGGCATTCAAATTAGTGATTACCTGCAGGAGCTGGACATACATAGATGTAGAAAGGACAAGACAGATCCAAGTTGCAAAAGTACATATGAAAGTCACAAGTCTCCAGATACGTAAAGCTTTGAAAGTAAAAGAAATCATACAGGTAAGGTGGGTAGAGCCACAAAAAAAGAGGGGCCAACACTGAGCCCTGGTCATGGGCCAGTATTTGGAGGCCAGAAAGATAAAGAAAATCTAGCAAGGAAAGGCAAGGAGCGGCCACAAAGTAGGAAGAGAGCCAGGAGAGGGTGGCGTCCCAGGAACCAAGCAAGACAGGTGCTCCGAGGAGGAAGATACCGTCAGCTGCATGGAATCCTAATGACAGGCGAAGGATGGAAGGAATGACTATCACCCATCAGGCTGAATAACAGAACACTGGAGGCTTTGAAAAGAGCTGTTTCATACCGCATGATCTCACTCAAATGTGGCCTCTAGGAAAGGTAATCTCAGAAGTGGAGAGTGGAATGGGGGCACCACGGGCTGGGAAGGGCTGGGAGCTGGGGAGTAGAGTGGAATGGGGGCACCACAGGCTGGGGTGGCGCTGGCAGTTCGGGAGTGGAGAGTGGAAAGGGGGCACCATGGGCTGGGAGTTGGGGAGTGGAGAGTGGAATGGGGGCACCACAGGCTGGGGTGGGGCTGGCAGTTCGGGAGTAGAGAGTGGAATGGGGGCACCACGGGCTGGGAAGGGCTGGGAGTTGGGGAGTGGAGAGTAGAATGGGGGCACCATGGGCTGGGATGGGCTGGTCGTTGGGGAGTGGAGAGTGGAATGGGATCACCGGGGGCTGGGATGGGCTGGTTGCTGGGAAGTGAAGAGTGGGATGGTGGCTCATGGGCTGGGGTTGGCTGGTTGTTGGGAAGTGGAGAGTGGGATGGTGGTTCACGGGCTGGGATGGACTGGTTGTTGGGGAGTGGAGAGTGGAATGGGGGTACCATGGGCTGGCATGGGCTGGGAGTTGGGAAGTGGATAGTAGGATGGTGGCTCACGGGCTGGGGCGGGCTGGTTGTTGGAAAGTAGAGAGTGGGATGGGGGCACCACGGGCTGGGGTGGGCTGGAAGTTGGGAAGATGTCGATCAAAGATACAAAATTTCAGTTAGATGGGAAGAATAAGTTCAAGAGATCTGTTGTACAACATGGTGACTGTAGTTAATAATATATTGTATTCTTGAAAAATGTTGCCAGGTGAGGTGGCTCATGCCTGTAATCCTAGAACTTTGGGAGGCTGAGGCAGGCAGATCACAAGGTCAGGAGTTCAAGACCAGCCTGGCCAATATGGTGAAACCCTGTCTCTACTAAAAATATAAAAAAATTTGCCAGGCATGGTGGCGCGTGCCTGTAGTTCTAGCTACTCAAGAGGCTGAGGCAGGAGAATTGCTTGAACCCGGGAGGCAGAGGTTGCAGTGAGCCCAGATCGCGCCACTGCACTCCAGCCTGAGTGACAGGGCGATACTCTGTCTCAAAAAAAAAAAAAAAAAGAAAAAGAAAAATGTTGAGTGGATGTAAAGCGTTCCTACCACGAAAATGGTAACTATGTGAGGTAATGTATATGTTAATTAGCTAGATGTACTCACTCTACAATGTAGTATATATACTTCAAAACATCACATTGTACACAGTAAATACATACAATTTTACCTCTCAATTTACAAAGCAAGTGAAAAAAAAAAAAAAGAAAGTATGAAAAGAGCCATTTCAATAGAATAGTTGAAATAAAAGCCTAGACAGAGTAAATTCAAGGGATACCAGCAAATGGGGAATACAAGAAAAGAGAAAAACAGGCTTGTGGTTTCGGTCAAGAAAGGCGTTTTTGTTTTGTTTTGTTTGGGGTGGGAGAAATGATGGCATGTTTAAATGCCAATGGGAAGGACAGAGAAATGGATGGTGTGGGGAAAAACCAAGAACTTGAGTGGACCAAGGGCACAGAGCAGCCTTCCAGAGGAACAAGGAGATTTCTGGCAGAGTGTGTACATCACAGAAGGCAGACATGATATGCAGACACAGGCTGGCTGGTACCTCTAAGTTCTCCTGATTGCTTGTGTTGATTTCTTCAATGAAACAGGAAGCAGCCTCACTAGCTCAGAGTGAGGGGCAGGGCTTAAGCCTTTTGGGTTTGAAGACAGAGGGAGATCTGAAATAGCCTTAGGGAAATGCAAAGCTACAAGGCAAGGATGATCTAACATCAGTGGTCACCAACTCAAATAAATAGCAGGGTCTTCCCTCCCTCTTTCCCCATCCCACTCACCTGGAGTGGGCACAAAAGTGGATTTCATCAGGCTTGCATAAATAGGTTTAATAAGATGGGGCTGGTGAGTATTTAAGAGTACATGCAGGAGCGTGAGGGCGAGTATAATGATGGGCTTGGAATTTTAGTTGGGTAAGGAAGAAAGGGATGACAGGAGGGGCATAAGAAACAGTTAAACAAAAAAAAAAAAAAAAAAGAGGTTTGATTCACTGTTTCATTTAGTTTGAAGAACTGAGCCAGCATTTTAGATATTTTGATCAATAGAGACATTGAGAGCACCTAGTCTGCCACCGGAATGGGTAATTCCTTACATTGTATAATGGGTAACGTGGAATCCTTTACACAACATTTAAGAATATTATATATGCATTACATGTTTATGTAGATAATTTAGAAAATACAAATAAAGCAAAAGAAAAGAAATCTTTACTTTCTTACCAGTTTTTACTATGTATTTGTATTTTATTTACAAATTTATAACATTTCCAGACTTTGGGGTAACTTACCTTTTCTAACAACTCTGTGAGCATGTTATTTAAAGTGGTCTTCTATACTTTCATTTCTATAATTACTGTTGTGTGGTCATTGATCCCATGGATTCTATGCCTGCTCGTGGTTTTGAGCTGTTCATCCCACACATCTGTAGCAGCCTCGTTTGCACCTGTGGAGTCCATGGCTCCCACAGACCCAGGCACAAGCCTCTGACTCTCTCACAAGCCTTCTAATGGAGAAGTGCCTGAGCATTTACTTAAGAGAAACACAAATGTGTTATAGGCAGCTTTCTGTCCTTTCCTACCTCTTTCCATTACATTCAGGGAATCATACTCATGTTTGAAATTTTATACATAGGGAACTCACTTTACATATGAATTTCAGGAAAATTAAGGACATATATAACACATGTAGTGACAAAATTTCAACGGAGTAGTTAGTTGTCACAAGGACACAGAAATGCATTTAAACAGTGGCTATAGGGTAGGAATGCTAGATTATCCTGCAATGTGTAAGAGTGACTGATGGAAAAGATCACCATGCCACAGCCGACACTACTTTCAAAAGTGCCAAAGTTTGGGTATATTTAAAAACAAAGCAAAAAAAAAAAAAAAAAAAAACTAATTATTTAGCTGAGTCTAGAACCCAACTCCATTTTGCAAGGAAGAACAAGGTGTTCTTAAAATCATCTTATGACATAATAAATTTTCCAGAAACAAAACCATCACGTATATTGAGGGAAGATTATACTTTGTTTTGCTCAGAACTTTGCCAACAGTTGCTCATCATTTCAAAAGATGACATCACCACTGACAACCCTGCTGGAGACATCTGAGTTGCCAATGCAACATTCCTATATCAATCTCATTTTGTAGCTGTCAAGTTCACAGTGATCACACATATACATCAAGCATCTATTTCACAAGTCTTCTAAAGTAGTATGCCTAAATATTTGTTTAATTAAGCATACAATACTTTATTATATACTTCTTTCTTTTCATTTTCCATATATAGTTAGTGCCTTATTCTAATTTTGTTTAAAATTTTGTGTGGGGAGAGCTCATATTACCTAAGAACTTTATTTTAAAAGAATAAAGGAGACACTAGAAAAGTTTGATTCAAACAATGAGAAGGTATTATCTGTATGTTCTAAATGATCTATCATAAACATTACATATTTGTATGGTTTCCAATTGTATAAAGGATACCAAAGGAACAACTAGAAAACATGAAACTACCAGTTCCAGCAGTATGGCAGATTAGATGCTCTAAATAGCTATTGATTGAAAAACCCAAAATACTGGATAAAATGCGTTTTCTAATCCTTTTTAAATGAATCCCAGACTTGCCATAAATGTGAGTAACATGAAGAACACCCAGAGAGCAGACCGAGAACAGAGAAACCAAGAGAGCAATAGAAGCCAACTTTTGCTATAGATTCTAACTTTCCCTTTGACAACTATTCGAGAACAGGGAAAAGGAGAGGAAGTCCAGGGCCTGCCAAAAGGGAGTAAAATACAAGACAACACCTCTCAGTTAAATTAAGGACCAAGAAGGGCTATACCCATCATTTAAGAGCTTGCAACCCCACTAAACAGAAAAGAGAAATACCTGTCTTGAACTTGATATGCAGAGGTAGCAGGAATAAGTGGCTCCTTTAAGAAATAGCAACCACAAGCTAACCATCACCAGGGTATCTGGTCAAAATTAACACTTAATGGTGTGGTCTACAAAACCTCAAGAAGATACTTCATTTAGAACAGCCCCAGAGACCATCATCACCTAAACCCTCTAATTAATCTTAACTTCACTGTTGTGGGACAACCAAACATTACGCTCAATCTGATACAATAAACGCACAGCATCGCCTATGAAGCATCCAGACCAAGTCAGTCAGAAATGACGGGTAACAACCACCCCAAACTCAGTGGCCTAGGGTCACCAGCATGTGTTGTGCTCACCAATGTAGTTAGTGAGCAATTTGGAGAGGGTACAAAGGGAAGCTTTATCTGTCCATCACAATGTCTCTTCAGCCTCAGCTGTAGCTGATGGTCACAAGAAAGGTGGGGGCTAGAACCACCTAGAGGCTCTTCGCTCAAAAGGAGGATCACAGACCCATCCTGTGAACAAGGGCAGGCCTAAGATGTTGGGAACATGATTTTCAACGACTGCAAATAAAATGTTTATCTTCAAGCCTGTGGATCTAACTTGCAATGTACAGGAAACAGATGAGCAAGTTAAGCCACATCAAGAGAAAACTGGCAGATAAAGCCATTCCACAGGACAGTTGACCCAGGTTTTTCAAGAGGTCAAGGCACAAATTTTGGGGAGGAGAAACTGTCCTAGATAAAAAGGCTTCAGAACCAAATCAATGTAATAAATCTTGTTTAAATTTTGCTTGAAACGAATGATACAGAAGGGTATTCTGAAGACAACTGGGGCTATCTGAACATGGCTAGGTTTGTAGACAAGTGGAATTATATTTAATTTAATAAGATGTGGTAACAGAGCTGCTGTTATATAAGAAACGCCCTTGTCCGGATGCGGTGACTCACGCCTGTAATTCCAGCACTCTGGGAGGCCGAGGCAGGTGGATCACAAGGTCAGGAGTTCAAGACCAGCCTGGCCAACATGGTGAAACCCCGTTTCTACTAAAAATACAAAAATTAGCCAGGTGTGGAGGTGCACGCCTGTAATCCCAGCTACTCACAGGGCTGAGGCAGGAGAATTGCTTGAATTCAGGAGGCAGATGCCGCAGTGAGCCAAGATTGCACCACTGCACTCCAGCCTGGGCGACAGAGCGAGGCTCTGTCTCAAAAAAAAAAAAAAAAAAAAGAGAAAGAAAAAAGAAAAAAAAAGAAGTGCCCTTACGTTTTATACACACATACAGAATGATTTTGAGAAGAAATGTATCTGTGACTTAAAATACTTTGAAGAAAGTCGGAAGAGGAGGAAAAGATGAGACAGGGCAGCAGACATGGGAAAATATTGGTAATATTAAAACTACGTGAGGGCATAGGAGTGCTCATTATGTCATTCTGTGTATCTGTATATTCTTCTTGTAATAAAACTTTCACAAAATCAAACACAAAACATTGTTCAAGATAACTGGTACCCATAGGCACCTGGCAAAAGCAAAGACCAATCAATCCTTCTGAGGAAACAGAATGCAAACCCAGGCCTCAATAAAAATGTCTTCAAAAAAAAATAAGCAATTTAGAAAAACAAGAAATTTCTTAGAACTAAAAGAGAACAAAAATGATACATATCAAAAGTTGAAAGATTCAGCCAAAGCAGTACTTAAGAGAAAAAATTTTAGTCTCATATTTAGCTTCATCAAACAAAAAATGTTCAAATAAAGTAAGCATTCACTTGAGTGGGGGCGGGGGGGAAGAACAGCAAAATAAACATCAATAAAGTAGAAAGCAAGACGTAATCAAGGTGAGAGAAGAATTTCATTAAGTTTGTTTACAAGGACACACAATACAGACAATAAAGACCAAGTCACTTTGGAAATGGTTTTATCAAGAATAAAAGAAGAAAAACCATTATGAATTAAAATGCCTTAACTCTGGATGGTACAGAGATTAAAGTAATAAAGGCTATTACGAACTTTATGTTAATAAAGTTGAAAAATTATATGAAATGGACAAATTCCTATACATAGGAATATATATATAGCAATACTCACACAAGAAGAAATTTTTAACTTGAATATGCCTATATTGACAAAAGAAATGAAATCAAAAATTTTAAATGGCTGGGCACAGTAGTTCATGCCTGTAATCCCAGCACTTTGGGAGGCCAAGGTAGGAGGATCACTTGAGGCCAAGAGTTAGAGACCAGCCTGGGCAGTAGAGCAAGACCTCAACATCTCTACTAAAAAAGTTGAAAAATCAGGGGTAAGACAAAAGGTAAAGATAAAGAGCTATACAACCCTTTATAGCTTTATAAACAGTTTTACTAAACATTCAGAGAACAGATAACAACACAAATTCTTTCAGTAAATTAAAAAAGGGACTCATCTTCAATTCTTTTTTTTTTTTTTTTTTTGAGACAGTCTTGCTCTGTCGCCCAGGCTGCAGTGCAGTGGCGCGACCTCGACTCACTACAACCTCTGCCTCCCAGGTTCAAGCAATTCTCGTGCCTCAGCCTCCCAAGTAGCTGGGATAACAGATGTGTGCCAACATGCCTGGCTAATTTTTTTTTTTTTTTTGCATTTTTAGTAGAGATGGGATTTCACCATGTTGACCAGGCTGGTCTCAAACTCCTGATCTCAGGTGATCTGCCCTCCCAAAGTGATAGAATTACAGGCATGAGCCACCACGCCTGGCCTCCAATTCATTTTCAAAGCTCGAAAAGTACAGATACCAAAACCTAACAAGGATAATTACAGTTCAGTCTAATTCATGAATTTCTGATTCAAGAAACCTAAAACAAATGTTAGTAAACTGAATCCAGTGATGAATAAAAAAGACAATATATCATGAGGCTATGTTTATTATAGAATGTGAGTTTCATTTGATACTTAAAAGGTAATTTACCTCAAAAACAGATTATAAGTAAAAACAAAGTGATCATCTCAATACATACAAAGTGATCATCTCAATAGATTCAAAAAAGACGGAAGATAAAATTCAGTATCCACTCATGAAAAAATCTCTTCGCAAACTAGAAAAGAAGGGAACTTCCTTAGCCCAACAGTGGACAGCTACAAAAAGAAAGGGAAAAGAGAAAAGAAAGAAAAGAAAGGGGAAACATTGTATTAAATGACAAAATGCTGGAAGCCTTCATTTAATCAGGGATAACACAGGAACAGCCAGCCGTTTCAAAGAATGCATACAGGGGAGCCAGTCTGCAGAAAGGCAAAAAAGCAGGAAGGCAGTGATTTTTTAAAGTATTATTTTAATTAAAAAACCTGAGACTTCACAAATCACTAGAATTAGCAGAATTAGCAAGAATTTAAAAGGTGGCTGGACACACACACAAAGTTAATATACAAAGTCTGTTACATTTGTATACACCAGTAACAATGAGAAAATGTAATTTTTTAAAGGATACCATTTACAATAGCAACAAAAAATAAGGTATGTAAGAATAATCCTAACAAAAGTAATACAGCAGCTCTTTTTGAAGAATGTTATAAAAGAAACTGAAAAGTACCTCAACAAATGGAGAGATGGAAAGCTATCCCATGCAGGAGAGGCAGGGATGGTGGAGTGGAAATGGGCAAAGGCAAGCATTGGAAAACCAGGCAGAAGAGCCAGCGGACTGCATGGTTTCTACAGCACAGCAACAGTGCCCGAAACAACAGGTGCCCAAGGCCACTTGCTGATGACAAAAATGACAAACATCCCCGCTTCTTTTTCTAAGTGGCTGGTGCTTTTTTTTTTTTTTTTTTTTTTTTTTTTTGGAGATGGAGTTTCGCTCTTGTTGCCCAGGCTAGAGTGCAATGGCACGATCTCAGTTCCTCACAACCTCTGCCTCCCGGGTTCAAGCGATTCTTCTGCCTCAGCCTCCCGAGTAGCTGGGATTACAGACGCGCCTCCACGCCCAGCTAATTTTGTATTTTTAGTAGAGACAGGGTTTCTCCATGTTGGTCAGGCTGGTCTCGAACTCCTGACCTCAGGTGATCCACCCACCTCGGCCTCCCAAAGTGCTGGGATTACAGGCATGAGGTGGCTGGTGCTTCTTTACCAATGACAACCCTGCCCCACTTCAATCCTCCTGTCTCCTAGATAAAAATTAAAATACCTAATCACAAAAGTACCCCCAGCTTCTTGAGAGCAGCCAGTTGAGGACCACCCCTCCTCATGATGCCACTCCCTCTTAAGAGTCATCTAACACACACCCCAACCCTACTACAGCCCCACCTCCCCCTTTCCACAGTGCTCCTGGGGCTCCTCAGGACTGCATCCTCCCTGGCCTGCAGCCACCTAAGCTAAACAAACACATCTTTTTATTACAGGGATATTTCTCATCTTTGGTCAGTGGGCTCCAAAAAGGAAAAAGCTATTCAAGTAAAGTGCTTCTGTGTGTCTTATCTTTATTCTTTTCTAAGTACCCTGTTTCACAGAAGATCCCATTATAACAATAACAAAAGATAAAATTCTTAGAAAATAGCGTGATAAAAAAAGAAAAAGTTTATAGGAAAAAATAAGCACATACGAATAGCAAAAGGAAAAAGAAAACCAACAACTGAAAAAGAAGGATAATGAGGATATACTACCCCATCAGATACTAAAAGATAATAGAGAAACAGTACAATACTAATGCATTCATAGAAGAGCCAATGGAGAATAACAGAAATCCCAAAATGACCCCAAACACCATATACCTAAGGAAATTCAGTTAATGATTTTAGTGGCATCAGGGAAAGGTAGCTGCAATGGTTGATTTTACATGTGATCTTGGAAGGTACTGTAAATGGAATTAACAATTTCAACGGAGACTCTGAGAATAACAGATTGTTTTCCATAATGTGGGTGGGCCTTATCCATTTAGTTTGAAGTCCTAACTATAATCAAAAGACCAGCCCCACCTAAGCAAGAAGGAATTCTCCAGCAAGCTGTCTTTGACTTCATCAGACCATCGGCTTACCACCTGCCAGCCCATACTGCAGGTTTCGGAAATGCAAAACTCCATAAGCATATGAGCCAATTCCTTATAATAAATCTGTGTGTGTGTGTGTGTGTGTGTGTGTGTGTGCGTGCATATGTGAGCACAATTGATTCTATTCTATTATTCTATTCTATTGATTCCAGTCCTCTGGAGTTAATAACTCATATTACAGACAAAGGCCCAGTCTCCCTAATATACAAAGGATTTTAAAAATAATTTTTAAAGACCAACAACTGAAGAGAGAAAATTCAAAATATATATAAATTTATAGTTCAGGAAAAAGGAAACACAAATGCCTTTAAATACACAAGACAACACTCAACATTACTCATAACAAGATAAATGTAAACTAAAACTATATGCTTAGAAAAAGAAGTATTTCAGATTTTGGCATATTTGCATATACACAAATGAGATATCTTAGAGATGGAACCCAAGACTAAACATGAAATTCATTATGTTTCAAACGTGCCTTACATATATGGCCTGAAGGCAATTTTATACAATGTTTTAAAATACTTGTGTGACTGAAACAATGTTTTACATGTGTTCTGACTGTGATCCATCACATGAGGTCAAATATGGAATTTTCCACTTGTGGTGTCATGTTGGCATCCAGAAAGTTTCAGATTTTGGAGCATTTCATATTTCAGACATTGGGATTTAGGGTGCTCAATCTGTACCAGATTGGCAAAAATCCAGAAGCTTTGTAAAGCCATGCTACTGGCACATATGTAGGAAGAGTCCTCTCACGTGCAGATGGGAGTGTGAATTGGCTACAACCTGCAATACCCACTGGGAATGCAGATGCACACACCCTTTGCCCAGCACTGTGGCTTCCAGAATTCATCCTGCAGATATTACTGCCCACTTATGACACATACACAAAGTTTAGCATGGCATCATTGTTTCAATTCAAATAACCAGAACTAATCTAAATGTCCATCAAAAAGAACTGGTTAAATATATCATGGTATGTCCATAAAATGTAATGAAGCTATAAAAATGAATGAGGGATTGCTGTATGTGCTCCTTTGGAAAGATCTCTAGAAAATATATTTAAGTGAGTAAAAGAAGGGGATGAGGAAAAAAATATGGAAGAAGGCATGTAGTATATACTATATACACCATCATTTGTGTAAAAATAGGGTAAAAATAAAAGTATGGTATTGTGCTTCTTGATATAAAGAAACTCTAGAAAAACATACAATAAACTATAAATGGTTATCCAGTCAAGAACGGGGGTGGTGACATGGGCAGAGGGAACTAAGACGGGAAGAGACTTTTCTCGGAATCCCTTCCTTGTACTTTTTATTTTTTCAAACCAATAAATGTATTGATTAGTTAAAACATTAAACATATGAAAAATATTGAAGACACAAAGTCAGGTATCTTGATGGAACCCTAAAATTATACCATCTGTATCAATCGCATTAACAAGACACCAAGTACTACTAATACTTGCTAACTGCCTGCCTTATACAAAAGCAAGAGATTACATAAACCACATTTGAAAACAAAAGGAAAGACTGCATAAAGAAATGTTCTGGTCGTTATGAAATACTAGCTGGTTAAATATGGTTGAGCTTCTTAAGTTTTTAAAGGTATATGAATTCAGTGTTATTAAGATTTAGCTTGATTTTGATAATACTTTAATGGTAATTTTTACTTTGTTTCAGGATAGATTTAGGGGGATTACTTAGGTTTTGGAGGTGCTAAATATATCTATAATGCAAGTTATCACTTTTTTGAGAAACTTTCCAAATCTATCTCCCATCCAACTCCCTAAAATCCAGGACTGTTCCTGTCAAACCAGACCATCTGATTAGGCCACTCAAATGTCTCCAACTTTCACCTCTCTGCCCCACAATGAATATAACTCAGACATTTTATAGCTAGGGAGTACAAACCCAAGAAAAAATTTCCAATGTATTTTGAGCAATGTTTGGTTTTATTCAGAATATACAAAAATTATTACAATTACTTTAAAAAGTCATGGTTATAGAGTATTTACCATATAATTTATTGTATTCAAATCAATAAAATGATAGCAATAATCAAAGCATAAGATAGACTGAAACTAAGCACATTAAAATAATATTCATTAAAATAAGATTTTACTTGTAGTATGCTTTAAATATTTAAATATGAAAGATATTAAATAACTAATTGCCATGTGCTGGAAGTCATCAGTGAATAATTTTTAAAGGAAGTAAATTTTGAGCTTGGTCTTGAAGAAAATGACAGGCATTTAGAATCATTAATCAAATCGGTTTTATGATCAGAGATTCATTTCAGCACACTACAGTCAAATGAGTAATATAATTTATCTATTGACTCCTTAAATTTTGATGACATGACAAAACACTCTGTGTCTACAGATAAGTTCAATAAGGCTCTGAAAGCCCCTTGAAAAAGGTTATAACTTTATCAAAACTCCAGATACCAGCCTTGCTCATCTAAAAAGAAATTATATTAAAGTGTTTTAAAATTTTCATACACTTTAATAAAAGACTTGACCAGGTAACTATGAAATGATGTACATTCCTACTGCTACAAACCCCACAGATGTTACTTTTTTTTTTTTTTTTTTTTTTTTTTTGAGACAGAGTCTCACTCTGTTGCAAGGCTGGAGTGCAGTGATGTGGTCTCCGCTCACTGCAACCTCCGCCTCCCGGGTTCAAGCTTTTAAATACATGTATGTAAAAACAAGATTGTACTGGGTCTCGAATCCTAGCTGTTGTTTTAACATGTTTTGCTTCAAATCATAAACTCTCTTTAGAATTCTCTAGTAAGTCATACGGAAAGGGACTCCAACAAACCCAAGAAAATATGTAAGAAACCAGCCAAACTGATTAAAATTAAGCTCCGTAAATTTATTTATTTTGCTTAATATCCACGATCTATTCAAGCCACAAAAGAAGTCCTTTAAAGAGGAAAAAGTCGATGCTACATGTGTTCACCTTCTCTTTGCCACCTCCACCACACAAAAGAGAAGGAAGGAAGTATTAAAATGGAAAATTATATTTTGATGTTTATGATTGGATGTGCTACGAACATTTTATCTGGATTCAGAGTAAGAGTCCCTCACTCACTACTTCTTTTCATGTCACTCATGAGTGACAGTCTCTAAAACATAAGGAAACTGAATCATTTTATCAAATAACATATATACTATTTTTCCACAAATTCTGTAAGCTGAAATATATAACCCAGTAACCTAAAGGAGTATTTAATGAGACTAATTTAAACTAGAAACTGCTTGATATATTTAAAGTACATGATTCCAATTAGTATTTTAATATACTGCAACTGAAGTGAATATCTACTTATAAGCTAGTTTAAATAGAATAACACAGTCAAAGGCAACAATGTTTTCACAAAGTAGCACTTACCATTAAAACAAAACAAAACAAAGGTCAAGATAAAAATACCATGCACGTGCCAACTAGAAGGATTAAATGATTGATAAAATCCTTCTCCTGAATAAGCCTTAACAAAGTGGCAGAGTGCTTTCTTGAAAGGTTCAGAACACAAATGACAGGGAACAAGCAATGACTGACACTTTCTGCTGCCACTAACCAGTAATGCAAGCAGCTATTAAACCAGTCATTCTTCTCACCCTCCAATCTCAAAAGGGGAAAAGACGGAGGGAGAGATGGAGTTAGATTAGGTTACAGTTATGCATTTTCTCAAAACTAATTTTTTTTCCACCAGAACATAATTTTTAATAAAGGACAGGAAGATGATTCAGAGCCGGGTCTGCCTTGGTGGAGAAAACAGGGCCCTGCGGGGCAGTGCACTGTGCTCACCTGCTGCGGCTGGTACCTCTGCTGGGACTGGGACGGCAGATACTGCGCCTGGGGTGGGAGGTGCGGGGGCTGCGGCTGCTGGCTGTAATATGGCTGTTGGCCCTGCTGGCAGTAACCACTCACACCTTGCTGTCCATACTGAGGTGGCATCTGTCAAAAAGTCAAGCAAAGCAAATGAGAAAGTCAAAATGTGCAATTAAATGAAATCAAATATGGTTTCAATTCAGCAACATGAAGGGGGTTCTCTGCTAAGCAACTAAACTCAATATTTCTAATCCTCTCTTCCTTAAACAAATCGACACGCTGCTTTCTATTCACATACTATAAATGAAGTCAAAAGGCAATCTGCTTTGCCTTTAAAAACCATCATATTCTATCAGATAGAAACTATTGATAATATCATAAAGGTGGAGAGGGGAGGAAGTGCTAAATACTGAGACTAAAAAATAGCCTCTACTAAGAAAGAGAAGCATGATATGAAATCCATTCCCACACAACAGTGAAAAAGTGAACTCAAACAGTCCAAATTAACTCACTAATACTTTACAGAAGGCCTGTGGTTTGGGTGCTTTCTTGTGTATGTTTGTTTCTAAGTTCAGAATGAAAAAGTCAGAATATACCAACGGCATTTACAGCACATATATACCAGTTAAATTATCAATTTTATTTACTATTTTTGCTAAGGATGGCATTTTCTTAGTTGATAAAACAGGTAACAATGTAAAGCAAGGTGTACTACAGTGCAAATACCAGAGGTATAGACAAAAATGGCCTCAATCAATCTTCTCCATCTCTAATTTACATCAGCCTAAAAATGCCTGAAAGCATTGTTTACAGGAAAATCCTTCCTCATGCAATAAATATACCATGGATAGTATTTTTGAATATTTTCTTAATGAGAAATCTATTGCCTTTTTCTGTAATTTCAAGAGAGAGCAGGAAAGGAAAAGAAAAACAAGATATCAGGACAGCAAAAAGCACTCTAGAGACAAGAATGGCAAAGTCATTTTGTTTCATACCACAATATGGTCCACTGGAGAACTTCAAGAACTTGAGCCCCATAAGCACACACACTTAAGAAATTAATGAGTGCCAGATACACACTTAAAACCCAAATCCACTATAGAAATACTGAATGAGGAAAAAGATGAAATGGTAAAAGATGAAAAGAGTAAAACATTTAGCCTCTAAGAAAAATCAGCACAGTAATTCCTAACATATACAATGGGGTAAAAGGGGAAAAAATGAAAAAGTTAAAGTTCCTATATTTCTTTCAATCCAATCCAGATTATTTTCAAGATCTACCAAAGAGGATGAGATTAAATGTGACCATAACGGCTCACAATGCCTCTCATCACACAGAGCCTAAGTTGTTGGAGCAGAAAAGTCTGCATTGCAAGCCATTTAACAGCACAGTTGAATTTTTTGCTTTTATTTATTTTACAGCTTGATATCTCATAATGAATGTTATGTCCCTGCCATAAGCCAAGCCAACGAATTTCCATAAAATACAACTCCACATGCTAGAATACCATATACCACTACAACACACATCCTTCCGTTCAACACCCATATGTTTGATTTGATATCTAATACTATATTTCACACAAGCATCTTTGCAGTTTGATTTAAAGCAGTTAGGATAACACTTCTGCCAGTGTTAAAATGACTGTAAAGCTCAGTCAACACAGCCAGCAACTCCCCTATGAATTGCGCTTTAATATGTTGACTTTCTGGTTACAGAAGCCCTCACACACAATATGGAAGTGTTGTTTGGGGAGGGGGCGCTGTTTTCTAAGCAACACAACAACAGGACAGATTGCAAGAACCTACTAACACTAGAGCAGCCACAAGCTGACTAGAATTTTTTACTACCTAGTCCAGCTCCAGGAAGTTTGGCTGCAGGGTGTGGGGCGAGGAGGATAGGTGGGCGCAGCTAAGAAATCTTCACTGGAGCAACCACCTACACGACTGAGCAAACCGAGACCTGGGTGCCCTCAAATATGCTCCTTCACGATTAAAACCAATTTGCTATCCTTTTAGACACACGGCTCATTCATCCATTTAGGACCAACTTTGCTGGCACCCCACCTTCTGTAAGCCTGGGCTGAGGAAACCTGTAACAGCACAGAGGGGCTCTCCCTGAGACCTGGGGCCCAGTGCCAACCAACTGGACCCGGTCAGCTGTCCTTCAATGGGAGCCATGATGGGACGGATTGCTCAACTCTAGTTTACCCAAAGAATCTTTGGGTTTGAAATACATGGACTCTAAGTCCAATTCCCTTTGCACGTGAGTTGTGTGAATACGGTCAGTCACATGACTCTGCCTTACATCTCCAACTGTCAAACAGGACTGCCTTCCTAAGTCATATAGATGCCCTGCCCAGTCCCACCTGCAAGTCTATACAGGTGCCATTATGACTTATTAAACTAGAAGTTGTAGTGCTCTCTGTAAAATATTAATTATTTCCTAAATGTTACCTTTAAAAACCAATTCCTCGATAGAATATCCCAGCTGACTGAAGCTAAAGTCTAACTCTTTGTTTGCTTGTTTGAGACAGAATTTTGCTCTTGTTGCCCAAGCTGGAGTGCAATGGCGCGATCTTGGCTCGCCACAACCTCCACCTCCTGGGTTCAAACGATTCTCCTGCCTCAGCCTCCCAAGTAGCTGGGATTACAGTCATGAGCCACCACACCCGGCTAATTTTGTGTTTTTAGTAGAGACAGGGTTTCTCCATGTTGGTCAGGCTGGTCTCAAACTCCCGACCTCAGGTGATCCGCCCACCTCAGCCTCCCAAAGTGCTGGGATTACAGATGTGAGTCACCGCACCCTGCTTAAAATCTAATTCTTTAATGATCATTATTGTTTTTTTGTCAATGCATTCAGATGCAAGGCTTTGAAAGATCTACTATATGCTGTTCAGACTTCTGAAACTGAATAGTATTATGAAACACAAATCAACAGCCTGCCCCAAAGGACATGGAAGGCCCCAGAGCCTTCTGCTGGATGCTGCAGACCACAGCTCCTTTTGAGTTCTGGCATCTGGGCGGCTGTCCCTCTCCTCACAGGCCATCAGGGCATTCTGGCACTGCTCACCGCTCAAGCTCAACCCCCACCTGAACCCAGTTAGGCTTCTAATATGCTGAGGACCAAGACACCCACACACACTGCCCACACAAGGAGGGCCCAAAGGACCGATGCGTGAGGAAAGCACCTGAGCTTCACTGTCCCAAGCTTTGCAAACCCTATTCTGATTGCTGAGAGTTTTTAAGTCGTTTCATTCTTAACCATATGCAGGATAACTCATATAACCAGACGGTTGCATGCAAGTGACATGCAACCAACAGTTACTGAGCGCTAGTCAGCAGTTGCTGGGAGCTGGAGACATAGAGCACTGGTAGCTCGGGCGGCCCTCCCTCCCCAGTCTAACCCTAACCATGGTCACTCTCGTGCCTTGACCAACCTGATCTTATCACAGGGGAGACTGATTTAGTTATGTAGTGAAACACTTAACTACGTGTTCACGTGTTTACTATCTGTCCTCATCACTAGAATATAAGCTCCTGGAAAAGGATCTGAGCGTCAACAAACATCTGTTGAATGATAAGTACTGTTGAATGATTATTAAGCAAGCTATTATTATATGAAAAATTTTAACGAATCAAGGAACACATTATAATATGGAAATCTCTTGAACTACCCAAATCTGACACACGTGTTCAGCTTCATCTACAGCCACTGAATGGTACACTAACAGCAGCACGGTGTCCTTGGCCAAAAACTGCTGGCCCATGGAAGTCCTGACTGTCCAGTGCATGCTTTGCCTCGAACACAGTTCTAACTATATATATATATATTTTTTAAAACCTGCAAAACTGAACTAAATGGAGATCTCAAAAAAAAATGCCTCAGATCAGAACATTTCCATTTGTTATTTAAAAATAAGAATCTGGCTGGGTGCAGTGGCTAAAGCTTATAATCCCAGCACTTTGGGAGGCCAAGGTAGGCAGATCAACTGAGGTCAGGAGTTCCAAACCAGCCTGGGCAACATGACAAAACCCCGTCTCTACTAAAAATACAAAAATTAGCCAGGCGTGGTGGCACACACCTGCAATCCCAGCTACTAGGGAGGCTGAGGCAGGAAAATCGCTTGAACCTGGGAGGTGGAGGTTACAGTGAGCTGAGATCGCTCCAGTGCACTCCAGCCTGGGCGACAGGGCAAGACTCTGTCTCAAATAATAATAATAATAATAATAATAAGAAGAAGAAGAAGAAGAAGAAGAAGAAGAAGAAGAAGAAGAAGAAGCAGCAGCAGCAGCAGCAGCAGCAGCAGTAGCAGCAGCAAAAGAAGAATTTGCTTCACTCATTTCTAAATAAAGAAGACCTTTAAGACATGAACACACACAACAACAAAAAATTTATAGCTAAAAATGATTCACTTACATATTTATTTTAGAAAATTATCCCAATAAAGAACGCAAGTACTACCTTTCACATTTCTGTATCACGTTAAATATGCAGGGTCAGGACTCATTTTTCATTTCACCATACCCTGAACTTTTTGCTCATCCTCCAAAATGAGTGAAATGATCAAAGGTTACCCTCTCCCCCTTTTTCCTTCTAAAGAAGTTTGTTTTTGTTTTGTTTGAGGTGGAGTCTCGCTCTGTCGTCAGGCTGGAGTGCAGTGGCACGATCTCAGCTCACTGCAACCTCCGCCTCCCAGGTTCAAGTGATTCTCCTGCTTCAGCCTCCCGAGTAGCTGGGATTATAGGTGCATGCCACCACGCCAGGCTAATTTTTGTATTTTCAGTAGAGACGGGGTTTCACCATGTAGGCCAGGATGGTATCGATCTCTTGACCTCGTGATCCACCTGCCTTGGCCTCCCAGAGTGCTGAGATTACAGGCGTGAGCCACTGTGTCCTCTTTTTTTTTTTTTTTTTTTTTTTTGAGACGCAGTTTTGCTCTTGTTGCCCAGGCTGGAGTGCAGTGGTGTGGTCTCGGCTCACTGTAACCTCTGCCTCCTGGGTTCAGGTGATTCTCCTGTCTCAGCCTCCTGAGTAGCTGGGATTACAGGAGCGGGCCACCACGACCAGCTAATTTATATATTTTTAGTAGAGATGGGTTTCATCATATTGGTCAGGCTGGTCTCGAACTCCTGACCTCAGGTGATCCACCTGCCTTGGGCTCCCAAACTGGTGGGATTAGAGGCATGAGCTACTGAGCCTGGCCTAAAGAAGTTTAGAGAGCAGTTTCTTACTAGGTTTAAAGGTACACTGACCCCATGACCCGGCCATGCGCCTTGTTAAGTATATAACCATGAAACACACATGTTCCAGGAAGGATATTCAATGCAGTCCTGTCTACTACAATTGACAGAAGAGGACAAAATCTAACTCTAAGACAGAAGGTAAATGGGAAAAGTTAACTTTGCTATAGGCACACAATTAAATCTACACAGTAGTAAAAAAGGAGTAAGACGCCACATATCAAAATGGTACAAAACTAAAAACTACAATGTTGAGTTTAAAAAGAAAGCAACAAAAAGTTAATGCAGTATCATATCATTTGTATAAAATTTGAATACGTAAGATATTAGTGTATACTGTTTATAAACACACATGTAGCAAAAGTATAGAAACGTGCATTGAAAAGAATTGGGGATTATGGGGCGTGGCTTCAGCCATGCTTTGCTCCTTTATAAAAAGAAAGATGTGAAGCAAATAGGGTAACATGTTATTTTTATACCTATATATACTGTGTGTATGTGGGTGTGTGTGTGTGTGTGTGTATACACCTGTATATACTGTATCTGTAATTACACAAGTGTGTCTGTTATATTTGCTTCTGTACTTTTCTATATGTCTAAATTATTTCACAATTTTCCACTTTTACCATAAAGATTTTGCCTCCACCCCAGTCCACATCCTCCCAAAAAGAGGTGGCCCTGGGAAACTCAAGCACCCACACAAGGCAGGAGGGGACACCCCAGGAGGTGTCCTTCCGAGAAAAGAGACTCAGCTCAAAGGCCAAGTCCCTGACTACAAGACCAGGTGCTCCAATCACTTCCCAGGCCTTTCACCTAGGACACTCCAGGCCATAGCTCTTCTGAGTTCTGGTGTCTGAGCGACTGTCCCTCTCCTCACAAGCCATCAGGGCATTCAGGACAGAACTAGGAGGAAGCCTTCATTATGATCTCCTCCCAAGGGAAACAAGTGTCCTGTAGGTTGGTGAACCTCTAACAGACAGAACTTTATGCCAGCATTTCCCTAAGGGTCACTAATTTCCCTATGGGTCCTACAAGGGACACTAATTCTATAGAATATCACACAGAAATGAGTTCTATAATTTAAAAAAGTTTAAAAAACAAATATACTATAAAAAGAAAACATACCATATCATCACATTAAAGGATATGTGAAATCCTTTAAAAAGTTTGGAAACTTGTCCACCTTTACATCCAAGATTTCTCAAACTCATTTGACCATGAACACCACCACACCACTGGACAGTCCACTGCACAGGACAGGCCCTTGCTAGTTCAGTTCATCACTGTATTCCACATGCCTGTCCAGTACTAAGAGCTCGGTGAATGTCTGTTGACTGAACCTCCTGAAATACATATAGAAATCACACACCACAGTCAATGGAAACGTTAAGAGCTGCTTGCCTTGAGCTAAACTATAGTCCAGTCCAGTTCTATCTCTAGGAAAGCATAGAAAAACACTGGAACAGATATTAGAACCTCCTTGATGTGAGCTTTGAAGTTATGATACTAAAACACGCCCCAGTTTCTATCACAGACCTGGTGTCTCTGAATAGCTCAATCTACTTACATTATCAGTTTGTTCCTCCTTTTGGAGGAAAAGAATCTATGAACAAAAGAAATACTTGGCATTGTCCTAAACTTATCAGAGACGTATTCAAGTGTGGTGAAAACTCCCCACTACTGAATTCTAACATGCTACTATTTTGCTGTGTAAAAGAATGAGCACCTTTCTCCTTATCTTCCATGTCTAAAGACCTTTTTTAATTGTGCTAAAATATACACAAAATTGACCATTTTAACCATTTGAAGTATACAGTTCAATGATGCATAAGTACATTCACACTGTTGGCCAACCATCACCACCATCCTTTTATAGGATTTCATCATCCCAAATGGAAACTCTGTGCCCTGGAAATAACAACCCCACATTCTGTTCCCCATCCCAACCCCCGGCCCCCATCCCAACCCCCCGGCCCCCATCCCAACCCCCGGCAAGCACCATTACACTTTCTGACTCTATGAATTTGGTTAGTCTTGCTATCTCACATAGGCAGAATCACACAATATTTGTTCCTTTGTGTCTGGCTTATTTTGTGTCTGAGTTAGCATAACGTATTCAAGGTTCATCCATGTTGTGGTGTGTATCATGTTTCATTCCGTTTTAAGGCCACGGAATGTATACAGCATAACTGTTTATCCACTCACCCATGGATAAACACTCGACTGTTTCCAACTTTTGAGTATTGTGAAAAATGCTGCTCTGAATAGGGGTTTACAAATATCTGGTCGAATTGTTGCTTTTACGTCTTGGGGTACATTCCGAGAAGTGGGACTGCTGGAGTATATGGTAATTCTATGTTTAATTTTTTGAGAACTATCATACTGCTTCTCACAGTGGCTGCACCATTTCACATTCCCACCAACAGGACGCAAGCTTCCAATTTCTCCATATCCTTGACAACACTTGGTATTTTCTGGGTTTTTCTTAATATTAAATATCAGCTGTACTAATACTGGGTGTGAAGTGATAACATACTCATTGTGAAATTTGCATTTCTCTAATGATCAGTGCTGTTGAGTACCTTTTCATGTGCTTATTGGCCATGTATATATCTTCTTTGGAAAAATGTTTATTCAAGTCCTTTGCCATTTTTTTTAATTAGGTTATTTGTTTTGCTGTTGATAGGAGTGTTTTATATAGATATTAATCCCCTATCAGATATATGATTTGCAAATATTTTCTCCTATTCTGTGGGTTATACCTTTTCACTCTCTCGATAGTCTCCTTTGATGCTCAAAAGTTTTTAAAACTTTGACGTACTCCAATTTGTCTGTCCTTTCTTTTGTTGCCTATGCTTTTGGTGTCATATCCAAGGAATAATTACCAAATGCAGTGCCAAACTTTTCCTCTGTTTTCTTTTAAGAGTTTTATAGCCAGGTACAGTGGCTCACACCTGTAATCCCAGCACTTCGGACGGCCGAGGCGAGTGGATCATTTGAGGTCAGGAGTTCGAGACCAGCCTGGCCAATGTGGTGAAAATACAAAAATCAGCCAGATGTGGTGATGAGTGCCTGTGATCCCAGCTGCTCAGGAGGCTAAGGCAGGAGAATCACATGAACCCAGGAGGCGGAGGCTGCAGTGAGCCAAGATTGCACCACTGCACTCCAGCCTGGGTGACAGGGCAAGACTCCATCTCAAAAAAAAAAAAAAAGGAAGAAAAAAGAAAAAAAAAGAGTTTTATAGCTTTGTTTAAGCTCTTACACACTTAGGTCTATGATAGATTATGAGCTAATTGTTATATATAGTCTAAGGCAAAGGGTCCAATTTTATTCTTTTGAAAGACTTATTGTTTTTATTCTATACAATTTTCACATCAGCTTTGGATCTTTCTGTTTTAAGAAGTACAGTTTGGTATTTACACATCCATCAAGAACTATTTTTTGAAAAGAACTAATTAAATGTATACATTCTCAACACACCATATGGTCTGTTTGCATGAAATTCAAAATCAGGCAAAATCAACTTATTGTGACAGAAATCATAACAATGATTGTGGGATATGGGGCCTGGCTGGAAAGAGACATGAAGGAATTTTCTAGGAGTGACGGAAATAGTCTAATTAGGATAGTGGTATCCTAGACGTATGTAATTGTCAAAACTCACTGAATTGCATGCTTAAGATTTAGGCATTTTAATGGATATAAATAATAGCTTTAAAATATTGGTGGCATATGTATATACACTTAATACAGAAGTCTAAACTGTTCGTCTCCATTTTTATCATTCTATAACACACATTTTAACACATTTATGCTTAAATCTTTCTTGCCTTTAGACCTAGATGTAAATTTTGTTTTATAATTAATGACTGATCCTAGATGCTTATCAGTGAGTTTTTATGTTTTCATTTTACATAATCCAAAATATTACAGAGCAACAGGGCAAACTGAAATAATCATGGTGAATTTACAAAGTAAAATATGTAAGGCAAGTCATAATATGTATAGAAACAACGTTCTTTTAACCCAAAATTCTACTTTAGGAATTTATCTTAAGAAAAAGTATGAGGCCGGGTGTGGTGGCTCACGCCTGTCACTTTGGGAGGCCGAGGTGGCTGGATCACGAGGTCAAGAGATAGAGACCATCCTGGCCAACATGGTGAAACCCCGTCACTACTAAAAATACAAAAAAAAAAAGAAAAAAAAAAAAAAAAGAAAATTCGCTGGGTGTGGTGATGCACACCTGTAGTCCCAGCTACTCAGGAGAGTGAGGCAGGAGAATCGCTTGAACCGGAGAGGCAGAGACTGCAGTGAGCCGAAATTGCGCCATTGTACTCCAGCCCGGGGGAAAGTGTGAGACTCCGTCTCAAAAAAAAAAAAAAACAGAAAAGAAAAAGAAAAGGTATGAAACAAGTATGCAAAGATATGTGTAGCAAGGAGTTCATTGCTGCTCCACTCAAAAATAGGGAAACAGCCTAAATGTTTAAATGTCCATCAACAGGGAACTGGTTTGAGGGGGGGAAAAAAAAGAGCAGAGGTGAGGATTCAATAAAATACTATAGAGCCATTAAAAATAACAATCCTCATTTTACACTATATTTAATAACAAAAAGTTCTGTCCATATATTACTGAGTTGAGGTTTAAAGATAGCAGGCTACAAAACCATATGTAGTATAATGTTATTTTTGAATGTGAGAATCTGTTTGTGGTATAGGTATAAAGAATTAACAGCCTCAAAGAATATATACCAAAATCACTCCTTAAACCAACTCTGTTTTTCATGAATCTAGAACAAAATGAAATTTATTTAGGATTATTTACTGCTGCTGTCTAAGAGTTATCAAAAAGTATAACAATTTATCTTAAACAGAAGAAAGCTCCTTAATTTTTATGTGTTTGTTTTTCATCACAGATTTGAACCCCTCCAGGTAAATTCTACAAAATGGGAAAGCAAAAAGCAGAAGAAAAATCTTAAGTCCACAACAGCTCCATTCACATGTGGCAAATCCTGCTGGCTCCTGATTTCACAGGAAGATCAAACACCATTTTTCATGCATAAGAGACAGACTGAAAATTCCCCACAGCAAGAAATTCAGATGCTAAGCTGATGCGTGGTTGAACCAATTGCACAAGGAAATTTTATTATGTCAACATGTCCAGTCAAAAATAATGTGCTAGAAGGTAATAAATAAAGTTTACAAGGTCAAGATCTTACAACTGCTCAACATTCCACAGTCCCTTAAGCTAAGTTCCCAAATGAGACTCCTAAACAGCTTAGGTGCCTTTTCCTCCCCTCTTTCTTATTTTAAGAAGAAAAATAAATCTTGTTCTTAGGTTTGTCTAAGGAAAAAACAAACAACAACAACAACAACAAAAACTCCACAATTTCCTGAAATTCACCTTTCACCCTTGAAAAATGAGAAATAGTCAACAAATGTATATTGAGCACTTACTGTATGCACTGTATACTAAAGCTAAGTTCCCTCCAATTCTATCTGGCTTCTCTTGACTAACAGGAAAAAGATGACCCGGGATGAGAAAGAAGTTGGCAAAGTATACAAAAGGGTCAGGCAGTGTCCCACACTGCAGAATGGGCTAGCTGACCACCCACACCCACAAGCTGGGTCCATGGCTCTCACATTGCTCTGAAGTCCAGTATGTTCTGGCCTGGGCCCTGGTTCCTTCCTAACAGGTAACTTCTGGGCCATAAACATTGCCAGTTTTTAACAGGCTTTCTGAAACCAACACATCTGGGATAATTTAACCCTCCCCATTAGCTTAGAAATTTAAAAAAAATCATAGGATAAAATAGATTTACCTTTTTTGATTTGGGAAACATTGAAAAGTTCTCATTTTTTATCAGTAACAAGTCTTTTTCGTGACAAATTTTTTATAAAACTTAGAAGGGTACACACGATATAAGATTATAAAGACATACACATACAATCCCTCTTGGATTTCTTTACAATTATTAATTGCCTACAAAATTTCACTGCTTATTCTAAGTTCAACTACTCTATATTTAGCAAATCACAGCTGAAGTGAATAGTAGGTCAGACCAATGTTCTGCGGAGTGAATATTCTATATAGCTGTGGGAACTAAATGGTAGTGCCTCTCATGACCTCAATTTCCAGAAGTCAGGGATATGTCCTGAACAGCCTTTATTTCCTCTTAATAACCATTATGAATCTATTATCCATGAATTTATTTATACACTTCTTAAATTAATTTATATTTCCAGTCCAGGCTATCTCTTTAGGGTAACAAGCTCTCCCACATTATTATCCACTTTGCAAACTGGTACATCCTTTAGTTTTCATAAAATTAACTCCTTCAGGCTTCAAGGAGTGTTGCCTAACTCTTGTACACAGAATTTGATTAACAAATGTATAGTCAACCAACGCAAGTCAATTATATCAGCCCAAAGCCTTTTTTTTAACCATATCAAAAATTCCTTGCCAACTACTGTCCATGCCAGTCTGTCCCTTGATTCTTTTCCTTTGCCTATCTAAACTGCTTTCACCCTGTTCGCCTTTATTGTGAAACAGCAGCTAGAATAGCACAAACGATCCCGAAGGCACAGCAAACACGGCTGTACACAAGAGTGAGATCACTTTTCGAGGTACCTGGAAAAGGAAATCTCTAGTACACATTTTGTATTCTCCTCTCCCACTGAACTACAGATGTTTTCACCTTTCTTTCCAGGTCAGCCAATTAGAGGAGATTTTATTCAAGTATTCATAAAATGCAGGCATTCACTGGCAGTCAAATGCTTCCTCTCATTTACAACCAGTGTTGAACTAAAGTCTTACTGTACACAAAATTAACACGCAAGTGTATAATTGTAGTTTTATGCTCAAGTGCCCTAATTACACACTTTAAAACACTTTCTTCCTGAGGATCCAATCGAGAGTATTCGATACCACAGATCTATAAAGTCTACAGTGTGTTTTTTGACAAAATAGAAGAACAACAGGAAAAAATCCGCAGCTTCTGAGAGAAGAGCATTTGTTTAATACAAGGGATGACAAATCTTATTCTAAAATAGCTTAAAAAATAGCATATTTCCAGTGTATATAAACTTGGTATGGTAGGAGGGTTGCCTAAGAGTTAAATAATTCATACTGCCTATTCTTGAAGAAAACAGAGCTGGCATTTTAAAATGTGGTCTTTCCTAAACTGTCACAGCAGTGAAAAACTCACCTATAAGTTTGTGTGCCTTATTGATATAATAATATAAAACAGGAAAAAATTTTTAACAGTAAAAAGAGCCACACTCACTTT